>NC_000002.12:25540058-25691573 GCF_000001405.40 Homo sapiens
CCTGTCTTTTCAGGAAGTGCAAGTGCCCCAGACCTACATTCTTCTTTAGGGTTGTGTTCACTATCTTCGGCCCTTTGCACTTTCCACTTAAGTTTTAGAATCAGTTTGTCATTTACCACCCAAAAAATCCTGTTGGGATTTTCATGGGAACTGATCAAATCTATAGATAATTCTGGAGAGAAGTGACATCTTTGCATACTGACCATTCCTTTCCATAACTGCGTTCATTTCCCCATGTATTTAAATCTTCTTTAATGTCTTTCAATAAAGTTTCATATTCTTCTCCATAAAGGATTTATATGTCTGTTCTTATTCCTAGTTATTTTATAAACATATTTTGTATACAGCAGCCCTGCTCTTTTTTTATAAGTTGTGATAAAACATACATAGCATAAAATTCACCATCGCAATCATTTTATTATTATTATTATTATTTTAGAGACAGGGTCTCGCTGTTGCCCAGGCTGGAGTGCAACGCTCAATCATTTAAAAATGTACAGTTCAGGGCCATGATGACAATGGCGGTTTTGTAGAATAGAAAAGGGGGAAAGGTGGGGAAAAGACTGAGAAATCGGATGGTTGCTGTGTCTGTGTAGAAAGAAGTAGACATGGGAGACTTTTCATTTTGTTCTGTACTAAGAAAAATTCTTCTGCCTTGGGATCCTGTTGATCTATGACCTTACCCCCAACCCTGTGCTCTCTGAAACATATGCTGTGTCCACTCAGGGTTAAATGGATTAAGGGCGGTGCAAGATGTGCTTTGTTAAACAGATGCTTGAAGGCAGCATGCTCGTTAAGAGTCATCACCACTCCCTAATCTCAAGTACCCAGGGACACAAACACTGCGGAAGGCCTCAGGGTCCTCTGCCTAGGAAAACCAGAGACCTTTGTTCACTTGTCTGCTGACCTTCCCTCCACTATTGTCCTATGACCCTGCCAAATCTCCCTCTGCGAGAAACACCCAAGAATGATCAATTAAAAAAAAAAAGAAAACAAAAAAAAAAAAGAAAAGCTAGATGATATAGAATATTCATGGTATAGAAAATAATGTAGGTACTAACAAGGTTGAGGCAAGTTCTACAGCAAGAATAAAGTTCACTGCTTTTATTGTCATAAAAATATATATATATACAGTTCAGGCCAGGCACAGTGGCTCACGCCTGTAACCCCAGCACTTTGGGAGGCAGAGGTGGGTGGATCACCTGAGGTCAGGAGTCCAAGACCAGCCTGGTCAACATGGTGAAACGCTGTCTCTACTAAAAATACAAAAAATTAGCTGGGCGTGGTGGTGGGCGCACCTGTAATCCCAGCTACTTGGGAGGCTGAGGCAGGAGAATCACTTGAACCCGGGAGACGGAAGTTGCAGTGAGCTGAGATCACACCACCGCACTCCAGCCTGGGTGACGGCAAGACTCCGTCTCAAAAAAATAAATAAATACATAAATAAAAATAAATAAATAAACAAGTACAGTTCAGTAGGGTGAAGTATATTCACGTATATTCATGTTGTTGCGCAACCAATCTCAGGAACGCTTCATCTCATAGAGCCGGAAGTATTTGAAAAATGCCCTTTGCCCCCTCCCTCCAGCCCCTGAAAACTGCCAATGGACATGTAGGATGCTTCTGTCCCTTGGTTATCATGAATAGCGTTGCTATGAACATGAGTGTACAAACATCTCTTTGAGACCCTGCTTTCAATTCTTTTGGTTATATACCCATAAGTGGAATTGCTGGATTATATGGTAGTTTTGCTTTTAACTTTTTGAGGAACCACCATACTACTTTCCACAAAAGTTGCACCATTTTGAATTCCACCAATAGTTCACAATGGTTACGATTTCTTAGGGTCGCCAATAAAATGTTGAATAAAAGTGGAGATAACAAGCCTTCTCGTTTTGTTTTCAATCTTAAACCTTTTCAACATTTTGCCAGTAAATGTAAGAGATGCTATCAGATTTTACAAATACTTTACATTAGGTTAAGGGAGTTTCTCCTACCCATGGATTACTAAGGTTTTTGTTGTTGTTCTGTGTGTGTTTAGTCAATAGATGTTGGGTTTTTTGGTTTTTGTTTTGAGACTGAGTCTCACTCTGTCACCCAGGCTGGAGTGCAGTGGCGCGATCTTGGCTCGCTGCAACCTCCACCTCCTGGGTTCAACCAGTTCTTCTGCCTCAGCCTCACCGTGCCCAGCTTAGATGTTGGGTTTAGTAAATATTTTATATGAGTCTTTTGAGATAATTATAAGGATTTAATCCATCAATCTATGAATGTGGTAAATTATAAGAATACACCCTTAATTGCTGAATAAAACCAGTGTGGTCATGATATATTATTTTTCCTAACCACTGCTGAATTGAGTTTTCTACTATCTTCTTCATGTTTTCATTTATATTTGTAAGAAGAGAATGGCTTGTAATTTTCCTTTTCTTGCTGATTTTTAAGACTTTGGTACCAATGTTATTCCCTCTAGCCTCAAAAATGAAACTGGGCATGCTCATTACTTCCTACAGAATCTGGGAAATTTTGTATAATACTGCAATTATTCTTTTATTTGAATGTTTGCTGAAATTCACAAAAAGTCACTCAGGCCTGGTTGTTTCCTTTGTGTAAATATATTGAGCAAATTCAATTTCTTTAATAATTATGTTATTATTTGGGTGTTCTATTCCATCTTGAATCGGTTTTGGTAAGCAACGCTGTTTTAGAAATTTGTTAATTTCAACTTAGCTTTTAATAACCAAATGTACAGTTCTTTTCTTATCTTTTTATCCTTGATTTCCCAGAGAATACAGTCTATATGATATTATACTAATTCTTTTTTGAGGCTTCCTTTATGTGGTCAATTTTTGTGTATTTGAAAAAAAAATGTGCAATCATTCATTGCTGGATATGTTAAAATTATCCAGTTTGAAAATGTATTTCTCAATCTCACTGTGTTCCTGTTAACTTTTAATTTATATATCTGTAGAATTGTTAATTTTGTCTTTTTATCTTTGATAAACCATCTCTGGTAAAGACTTTTTAAATATGATAAAAATATACAAAGTCTAAAGTTTACCATTCTAACCTCTCTGGTAAAGATTTTTGCCTTAAAATCCTTTTTCTAAGACTAATATACTTTCAACAAATTTGTTTTGATTAGTACTTGGCCTGGTATGTCTTTTTTATTCTTAACTTACAAGTTCTCTGTGTCCTTATTTTTTGGCTGTCTCTTGTAAACAGCATAGAGACAGGTTTTTTTTGTTTTGTTTTTTGTTTTTTTTTTGAGACACAGTCTTGCTCTGTCGCCCAGGCTGGAGTGCAGTGGCACGATCTCGACTCACTGCAACCTCTGCCTCCCGGGTTCAAGTGATTCTCTGCCTTAGCTTCCCGAGTAACTGGGATTAGAGGTGCGCGCCACCACGCCCAGCTAATTTTTGTATTTTTAATAGAGACAGGTTTCACCATGTTGGCCAGGCTGGTCAGGAACTCCTGACCTCAAGTGATCTGCCCACTTCGGCCACCTAAAGTGCTGGGATTATAGGCATGAGCCACTGCGCCTGGCTGAGACAGATTCTTAAAAATATTTGACAACTGTTGCTTTTTATCTAGAAAATTTAATGAATTTACTGATTAGTAATATATTTTTATTCATTTTTATGGCTTATTATGTCATTACTTGTTTCGTCTTTTTCCTATTTGTCCTTTTCAGGTTTTATTTTCTTATTTTATTTTCCTCTTTTGGAAATTTGCTCTTTGAGTTTACTCTTCTAGCAGCTACTTTTGTTGTTGCTGTTGTTAAAGTAACATTTATTGAGAACTTACTGTCAGGGACTTAATGGGTGCTTTTAACTCTCAAAATAGTTTTATGAATTAGATGTTAACATATAGGCACAGAAATTAACACTCAGTGTAAAAATTAAGGCTCATATAACCAGGTCTGTCACTCTTTTTGTGGTACAAACAGCCCCTCAACAGGTAAAATTACTCAAGAGAAAGAACCGCTGGCAACTAGGAGGGACAGCCACGGCAGTGAGGCATTCTATTTCTTAGAAAGAAACAGGCACCCGCAGCCCAGCGTGGGGGATGTGGAGTACCACCCTCAGGGCTCGCGGGTTGGGTCATGAAGGTGAGTCAGGGGTGGGGACACGGTGTCCAACTGAGGGACAGATTCCAAAGTGGGCAGCAGGCGACTCACTGCAATGGTTTCATGTGTGCTCCTGTGCCAGGGCTGAGACTTGTTTTCCTCGGATAACCATGAACCAGGCACTGCGATACTCTGCAAAACTTTTTCTTGAGCTCAGATTACTGTGTTTTCAATCAGCCTCAAGCTAATTCCTTGCACAGCACAATCTTCAGCTCAGGGTATACGCTGACAGGCCCTGACATTGGGAACATAACAGCCTAATGGAAAAAGCTCAGGATTGGTGACTTTGAGGCCATTCCTGTCATTTTCACTTCCAATTACTCTCTCTTTCTGAGCACATCATCCTGAACTCCAAGCCACACCATCTGAGGGGATCTAAGCAGAAAAATATCCCCCAGTGGCAGACTCTTGGTACAAAGCCTGCTAAAGCCTCAGACAAGTCAACAACTTTCTCTATTTTAACATGAACACTTACCACAATCTTAATCAACATCTGTAACCTCACCTAGTAACTTCAGTCCTTTAATCATGCCTCAACCAATTTCATGCCATAGTTTAGTACTTCAGCTGCACCTTATTATAAGCTCACCAAAATTAGTAATTATTATTTATACCTGGTGCTTAAAGTCATCCACATTTATCAATTCCACTTTGCACTATTTCTTCCTTCTTGCCTCAAATTATTTTTTGCTCAAAGTATATCCTTTATTAATTCTTTCAGCAATGTTTTGTTGGTGACAAACTCCTTGAGACTTTTTTGAAAAATACCTTTATTTCTTCTTTGCTCTTGAATAGATTAGCTGGGTAGAGAAATCTGGATTGATCTTTTTGTTCCACCCTTTATATCCTTTACTCACCTTTCACACTTTCCATCTCCTTTTATCTGTGTTCAGCACTCTGTATTCTGATTAATCTCATCACATCTAATTCCCATACCCTAATTTTCACTTGAACAGTCTCTAACTTTCTATTTAACCCCTCCATTGAGCTTAACTTTAATATTTTTGATTTCTGAAAGTTAAATTTGGCCTTTTTTCATTCAACTTGTCCCTTTTAACAATGCCACTATTCCCAATTTCATTTCTTTAACTTTTTGAATGTGCCATTTCTAAAGTTCTTGGCATGCTAAACCTATCTGTTGTGTTTGTTTGCTGATTTTCCCTCACAGTAGATTGTTTTGTGATTGGGTTTGCAATTTTTGGTAATAAGCTCACCCTTAGCAGGGGTTGTTTTCTGCATAGGAGTCCCATTTGAACTGAGCTGTGGAAGTGTATGGCTACAGAGGGATTTTTTTTGTCTTCTTCTGGCAGGTACTTCAGAGCAGTGCTATTATCCAACAGAACTTTAAGGGATGATGAAGACTTGCTATACCTGCATTATCCAATATGGAAGCCACTAGCCCCGTGTGGTTACTGAACACTAGAAATGCTGCTACTGGGCCTGAGGAACTTTATTGTTTATTTTTGAGACAGAGTCACCCAGGCTGGAGTGCAGTGGTACGATCTTGGCTCACTGCAGCCTCCGCCTCCCGGGTTCAAGCAATTCTCCTGCCTCAGCCTCCTGAGTAGCTGGGACTACAGGTGTGTGCCACCATGCCTGGCTAATTTCTGTATTTTTAGTAGAGATGGGGTTTCACCATGCTGGCCAGGCTGGTCTCAAACTACTGACCCCAAGTGATGGGCCTGCCTTGGCCCCCCAAAGTGCTGGGATTACAGGCATGAGCCACCGTGCCCGGCTTAGAAACTTAATTTTTAACTTGCGAACCCTGAAAGAGTCAATCCTTCCAGATGAATCCTGAGTGGCAAATGGCCTAAATTCAAATACAGCCAAGCAGCCATTTGCTGGCTAGAGGTCACACACATACTCTGCCTTCCCAGCAAACCCTATGTTTATTTAACATTGGGACTTTCATAACTGTCTGTTCCTACCTCAGGCAATAGACTGTGACTTGCATCAACCAATCAGAACTCAGCAAACATCAACCAATCAGAACTAGGCAAGTCTGCAACCGTCCTTTGCATAAGTGGACCAGGGTGGGAACCTGGACAGGACCTTTCCCTATAATAGACAACCCTCTCTTGGTTCTCTCACAAGGTTTTGTGCCAAAGGCTTCATTTTGTGCCAAAGGCTGCATCTCCCCAGTGTGCAAACTGTTCACTAGAATAAAATCTTTTTCCTCTAAACTTTTCAGAAAACTGGTAGATTTTGTAAGTTTTCTTTTTTCCCAGAGCCTGGCTGCTGGATATTTTTTGTACCTTCTCTGGGCCACTGGAGTTTTTCTAGCCCCTCTTTGTTTTAAGGAGGCAGCTCTTCTAAAGTCCTGGCCTTTACAGAAATATTAGTTCCACTTACCTTGTTTCGTGAACCCAAGACAGATTTCCTACTTCATGGGGGCACTAAACCCTAACCTCTGGGGCTAAATCCAGTATCCAATCTGATAGACCCCTGGAACACCACAGTGTTAGGTTTAATTCTGATAGCCAGGGCTTTCTCTGACTTTTAATCAAGCTAAATTCTACATTTCAATTGTTGTTGTTATGTTTAATCCAGCGTGCATGTCTCTGTCATTGGAGAAAGGAGATTACAATTAGCTTAGTTTGCCATGTTGCTGGAGTCAGCAATTAGGTTGGTGCAACAAGATAGGATAGATCTTCTATTCTTTTTTTTTTTTTCTTTTTGGAGACAGAATCCTGCTCTGTTGCCCATGCTGGAGTGCAGGTGGTGCAATCAGCGCTCACCATAGCCTTGATCTCTTGGCCTCAAGTAATCCTCCCACCTCAGCCTTCTGAGTAGCTAGGACGAAAGGCATACACCACTGTGCTAAGTTAATTCTTTTGTTGTTGTTGTAGAGACAGGGTCTTGCTACATTGCCCAGGCTGGTCTTAAACTTCTGGCCTCAAGTGATCCTCCCGCCTTGACCTGCCAGAGTGCTGGGATTATAGCAATGAGCCACCACACCTGGCCAGACTTTCAATTATTTTAAATGCAAGTTGAATTATTCTTGCATTTCCAGGATAAGTGCTACTTGATAATGCTCAAATAAATTTACTAATTTTTTAATGTAGAAATTTTATACCTGTATACTTCTTTTTTTTTTTAATCTACCACTAAGAGTCATGCACCTGTATTCTTTCTTTCCTTTTTTTTTTTTTTTTTTAAGATGGAGTTTCACTCTTGTTGCCCAGGCTGGAGTGCAATGGCACAATCTCGGCTCACTGCAACCTCCGCCTCCCGATTCAAGGAATTCTCCTGCCTCAGCCTCCGGAGTAGCTGGGATTACAGGCACCCACCACCATGTCCAGCCCATTTTTGTGTTTTAGTGGAGACGAGGTTTCACCACGTTGGGTCAAGCTGGTCTTGAACTCCTGACGTCAGCTGATCCACCCGCCTTGGCCTCCCAAATATGCACCTGTATCCTTATGGGAAGACAGCTTATAATTTTCTCTTTTGGTGTTGTCCTTGCCTGTTTGGGGATGAAGGTTATGCTGGCCTAGTAAAATTGGTTGGATACATTCCAATTTTGTACTCTGGAATGGTATATATCAAATGAAAATTATCTGTTTCTTGAAGTTTTGAAAGAACTCACCTGTGAAATAGTCGAGGCTTGATGCTTTCTTTGGAATGTAGATCTTTGATTCTCATTCTAATATTTTTAACTTGCTTATTGACTATTAAAGATTTTCTACTTCTTTTACCAAATTTGGTAATACCTATTTTCTTAGAAAATTGTATATTGCATTTAGGTCTTCCGATTTATCAGCATAAAGTTGTTCATAGTATTTTCTTATAATTACAGAAAGCAAAACTGTCTGTACCCCATATCAGTTTTCATTTCTGAAATTATGTTTGTACTTTAAAGAAATTAGTCAATAAATTAGACCTATTTTACTAATTTTTTCAAATAGCCATCTTTTTGTTATCGTGATCAAGTTTCTTATTTCAATAATTTTTAGGTTCATTTTTATTACTCTTCTACTTCAGATTTATCAGTACTTCTTTCAGTTTCAGAGTACTGAAATCTAGGTTCCTCTATTTTCAATCTTTTCTTTCCTAGAAAGTACATGTAAGGTTATGATTTTTCATCAAGTATCATTTGAGATGTAAAGCATAGGTTTAGGTACATTGTGCTTTTCCAGTCATTTAATTTTGTTAATTTTGATTATGAATTCTTGTCATTCCATAAAGTTAGAAGTTTATATTCTTTTAAAATTCAAGATGTGTGTTAAGGTTTTTTTTTTTTCCTTTCTGTTGTTAATTTCCAATTTTACTGCATTGTGGTCAGGGAGGCTTCTTCCTAAGAACAGAAGGAGGTGAGGGAGGGAAGCACATGGACATCTGGGGAATGGGCTCTCCAAGCAAAAGGAAGAGCAAGTGCGAGGCCCTAAAATGCAAGTTTGCCTGGTGTGTTGAAAGAATGGCAAGATGTGAGCGCAGTCAGCCTGGAGTGGAGTAAGGGGGAGTAGGGCAGAAGATGAGCTGAGAGGTAAGGGGGTCAGGTGGGCTAGTGCCTTCTATGCCACTGTAAGGACTGTGGCTTTTACCCTGAATGAGGTGACAAGCTCTTGGAGTGCATCCAGCAGATAAGGATCTGATGCTTTTAGCAGAACCATTCTGGCTGCTATATTTAGAACAGACTGAAGGGAAAAGGGCAGAACCGGGGACATCACTCAGAAAGCCTCTGTAATAATTACTTATGTATATGTTTACATACACATAAATACATACACCCACAAACATGCAATGTTACTAAGAGCAGGATAAACAGGCTTGTGCTGACACCAATTCTTGACAAATTTCACTTTCTAGCATTTGAAGTCTCCCTCGGTCCATCCCAATGTTGCCTGCTTTGAGTTGTTTTGTCTCATGTTAATATTTTGTAAAATTATAATATATGTAATAATATTTATTGTTAACTGTATCCTCTAACATAGCACCTAAGTGGTTTTTGTTGTTTTCTTAAATCTGAGTTTTTATCTTGTAAGTAGATGAGTTTAGTTTTTCCATTTATTTTGATTACTGATATATATATCAGTAATATATATTTGATTATGAATATACATATATCAATATATACATTTAAATTTAATCATAGGACTTATTTTGTATCTTCTATTTTTCATGACTTTCTTTTCTCCTACTTTCCTGTCTTCTCTTGGATTGGTCAAGGTTGTTTTTGCTACTGTTATCTTATAATAGGTTTAAAGTTTATATTTTATATCTAACTTGTCTAGTAGTCACCCTTAAATTTTTAATGCATACTTAAAATAATATTTTCTTACAAGTTGGAGTTACATTTTATATAGTCCTCTTGAATTCTTTGGCATGTTTTTATTTCCCTTTTTGCTCCACCTACCCATAAAATTCCTTGTTGCTAACTTTGTTGACCTAAATTGCAACTTATTAAAAATCATCTTATATTTTACAACCAACATTTGCTTAGATGGACCATTGTTGTTTTCCTGATTTATTTGCTTCCTTCTTTTTTCTTGGATCCCATTATTACCTTCTGGGTTCATTTTCTTTCTTACTGCAGTGGAGTAATCATGGCTCACTGCAGCCTTGACCTCCTGAGCTCAAGCAATCCTCCCACCTCAGCCTGCCAAGTAGCTGGGACTACAGGCATGCACAACCACACCCGGCTAATTTTTGTATTTTTTGTAGAGATGGGGTTTCACCACATTGCCCAGGCTGGTTGCGAACTCCTGAGCTCAAGTGATCCTCCTGCCTCACCCTCCCAAAGTGCTGGGATTACAGGTGTGAGCCACTGTGCCCAGCCAGTATATCTTTAAACAGTTTTTCCAGCAAAGTCCTTAAAGTCTGAGAATGCTACTGTGGTACACTTGCTGCTGAAAGCTAGTATGGATGGGATAGAATTTTAGTTCAGAGTTACTTCTCTCAGCAGCTTAAAGACGCTATGCTATTGTTGGCCGGGCGCGGTGGCTCACGCCTGTAATCCCAGCACTTTGGGAGGCCAAGGTGGGCGGATCACGAGGTCAGGAGATCGAGACCATCCTGGCTAACACGGTGAAACCCCGTGTCTACTAAAAATACAAAAAATAAGCCAGGCGTGGTGGCAGGTGCCTGTAGTCCCAGCTACTCGGGAGGCTGAGGCAAGAGAATGGCGTGAACCCGGGAGGCGGAGCTTGCAGTGAGCCGAGATCGCGCCACTGCACTCCAGCCTGGGTGAAAGAGCGAGACTCTGTCTCAAAAACAAAAACAAAAACAAAACAAACAAACAAAAAAAAACACGGTGCTATTGTTTTCTTAAAACCAGTGATGACATCTAGCACTTGAATTTCAATTCTTTTGAAGACCATCAGTCTTTTCTCTCCAGTGTTTCCTAAGAATTTCTCTTCATCATTATCACAATGATGCCTATTCTATTTAATATTTGAGGGCTTATACCTTTTCAGTACTGGAAATTCTAGAATATTTTCAGATGTTCTGAAATAATTTTCAGACATTCTAGAATATTTTCAGACCTCAATTTTTCTTTTCTTTTTTACTCAGGCTGGAGTGCAATGGCGTGATCTTGGCTCACTGCAACCTCCGCCTCCTGTATTCAAGCAATTCCCCTGCCTCAGCCTCCTGAGTAGCTGGAACCACAGGCACGTGCCACCACACCCGGCTAATCTTTGTATTTTTAGTAGAGATGGGGTTTCACCATTTTGGCCACGCTGGTCTCAAACTCCTGAATTCAAGCAATCTGCCCACCTCGGCCTCCCAAAGTGCTGGGATTATAGGCGTGAGCCACAGCACCCAGCTGAGACCTCAATTTTTCAAACATTGTCTCTGGTCAATTTTCTTCACTGACAGCTCCTATTAGATAAATAATGGAACTTCCACACTGTCCCAAATGCCTCAACTTTTCCTTCATACTCTATTTCTTATCTCTTGATGCTGAGTTTTGGAAGAACTTCTTCTCACCCTGATCTTTTAGTTAACTCATTTGTTCTTTAGCTACATCCAATTTGCTATGTAGCCCATCCAATGAGTTTACTTTAACAACTATATTTTTCATTTTCACGACTGCCTGTTTATTATGATTTCTGCTTGTTTTAATGCGCATGAAAGTCTATCCTTGGTCTTCTAAGGAAATTATATTTACCTATATTTAAAGTTTCCTGATTGCTCTGCTTCCTAGGGTATAAATCTGCTTTTGATATTTCATATGTTCATATTTTATATTGTTGTGCTAGGCTTCCCCTGGATTTTCATGGTTGTTGGCCATGCAAACATCCTCCAGGACTGACCACTTGCAATGTGAGTCAACAGTGGCCTCCCGGCTGGGGATCCTTGGCTGAATCTGTTCTGAAGGAGTTGGCTGAGCAGCTTCAGGGTCCCAGCAGTACTGAGAACTTCCTCCAGGCAGTGTTAGCGGTTCCCTTCTGCAACTTCTCATTTTAACACATACCACCTTCACTTAAAGATATCTTACAGCTTTGGGTATGGAACATTTCTTATTTTTAATCTGGAAAGGGAATTTATTAATCTAACTTAATGTCTTACCATTTCTATGGATTTGGTGTAGAAACAGGACAAGGTCAGGATGTGCTTGGTCAACCATCTTGAAACTGGATCTATTGCTTAAGTATCATCTCTCTGCATTTTCTTTAGCCTCTATCTGGAACTCTTATTAGAAGGAACTCCTCAATCCATCCTCTACACTTTGTTTTCTTTTACTTTATAATAATAGTAATGTACTAAGGAATACTTCTCTGTTCTAGCTTCCAGCTCACAAATTTGTTCTTCAGCTATAAACCCTGTTAATCAGCTCATCTATTTAATTTCTTATTTTAACAATCAAACATTTAATTTCCAGGATCACTACTTAATTATTTTTGGTAGAAAACATAACTGCTCATATCTCTCTGAGGAATTAACTATAGTTGCTGCAAAATCTAGTTCTGCTTATTCTATTAATTCTATTTCTAAGATAAATTCTTTTGTTACCTCCTCAGTTATCTTCTCCAGTTGTGTTCCTCTCATTTGGGGTGATTTTTAACTAAGTGCTCAGTTTTGTAGTCAAGACTTCCTGTTCAGACATCTACTCTGTGTGCTGCCTGCCTGGAGGGCAGGAATGGGAGTTGTTTTCAGTGAGAGTGAAAGAGGGATGGAAGGTGCCACCTCATTGAAAAGCTTTATAGCTAGTCTTCTTAGCAAGGTAGCTTCCTGTTTTCCTAGAATCCATCCAGCACCTGGAACCCTACCTTGTCTCTGCAATCCAAGCTCCTATATACTCTACACCTGCCTGAGACACCTCCATCACCATGCTACACTTCCAGCATTGCCCTGTCACTGGCCCTGGGCCCCTCACAGCTCCCCGCAGCAACTACTTCCAAGCAAGAACACTGACGACACTATCCCCATCATTAGCAGCAATGCTCGCCTGCCCTGGTTCTGGACTCAGGTTTCCTTTTGCAAACAGATCTCATCTACTTTTCACAGAGATTCTTCAGAGCCTGAGGCCTACTAAGGGTTTCCTTTCCTTCCGCCTGCCCTGCCCATTGTACTTACAGATTACTTTAAAAATTCTAATCTATCTAAGCCTCAGAAGTAAGGTGCCCTCCGTCTACCACTTTGAAATTCCCATTTCTTTTTATACAATTAAAGTTCATAAAAATTTATTTTGAAAATTATATAATTTCTCTTTTTGATTTTTTTTTTTTTTTTTTTTTTTTTTTTTTGAGACGGAGTCTCGCTCTGTCGCCCAGGTCGGACTGCGGACTGCAGTGGCGCAATCTCGGCTCACTGCAAGCTCCGCTTCCCGGGTTCACGCCATTCTCCTGCCTCAGCCTCCCGAGTAGCTGGGACTACAGGCGCCCGCCACCACGCCCGGCTAATTTTTTGTATTTTTAGTAGAGACGGGGTTTCACCTTGTTAGCCAGGATGGTCTCGATCTCCTGACCTCATGATCCACCCGCCTCGGCCTCCCAGTTGATATTTTTTTAAGAGATGGGATCTCACTATGTTGCCCAGGCTGGTCTCAAACTTCTGGGCTCTAGCAATCCTCCCACCTTAGCCTCCCGAGTAGCTGGGAGTATGCCTATAGTCATAGGCATGTGACACATCACTCAACCAATATGTTATTTTATAAAAGGCTTCAAAATAACTGCAATAAAAAGTGAAAAATTAGAATTGCTAAGCTCCAGTTTAACTGGTAAGCTATAATTTTGATTAACATATGAGAGAAATATAATCCATGTAATTTTTGTTAATCTTCCAAGACTTAGGAGTTTTAGCTCACAGTAATAAAAATACGGCTAGGTAGGGCTGGGTGCGGTGGCTCATGCTTGTAATCCTAGCACTTAGGGAGGCTGAGGCAGGTAGATCACCTGAGGTCAGGAGTTTGAGACCAGCCTGGCCAACATGGTGAAACCCCATCTCTACTAAAAATACAAAAAAATTAGCCGGGTGTGGTGGCAGGCGCCTGTAATCCCAGCTACTCAGGAGGCTAAGGCAGGAGAATCACTTGAACCTGGGAGGCGGAGGTTGCAGTGAGCTGAGATGGCGCCACTGCACTCCAGCCTGGACAACAAGAGCGAAAACTCCTTCTCAAAAAAAAAAAAAAAAAAAAAGGCTAGGTAGAATAAAATGTAATTTGTTCACATATCTGAAACATGCTTATAGATTACAAAAACCCCTTAACCCACGAAAAAGAAGCCACTGTTATTCCAACTGGTTCAACAACAGCCAAGGAGGGAGCTACATAAGGACAGCTGCATCTTGTGCTCAGCGGCAAATAGCTTTGGCTTCCCTTTCGAGAAAAAAAATACAAAGATTTGCTAGAATTCAACATCAGTAGACTGACACATTACTAGATCTGTCATGATAGCCAATATAAATTTATGGTTCCATACACACCAACCCTGGGGCTAAGAAGGGTATCCTTGAAATACGAATAACTGCTACATGAAATGCTAATACTTTTAAAACTGAAAAAGCTGTGAATGTGTATAGGGAAAAACAAAGCTTTTGACCAAAGTTCAAGGCCAAGCTTTGCTCCTAATTGGGCTGTCATCAATTTAGCCTGGGTGGGAAGCATTCAAATGGAGACAGGGGGATGAGGTGAGTACACACAACAGGGAAAAATGTTGCACTGAGTATTGGCTTTTCTATTAAACATTAGTTTAATATCATGGACAGAATTTATTTTCTCTATATAGTTTTAACCAGCAGTTCATAGTCTCATTTTTTTTTTCAAAAAATTTATTGAGAATTTTACTGCTTTACAAGAGAATTAAAGGTAATATATTACCCATAAGTAAAGCTCATATATTGCTGGTAGGAGTGTAAAATAGTAAAGCCAGCTTGGAGAGTAATTTAGCAATATCGAATAAAACTGAAAATGCACACTCCTCTCGTCCCAAGGATTCCACTCCTAAAAACAAGAGAAACTCTCCACGCTGCACCAGAAGACTTGTACCAGAAAATCCACTGAAGCTGTGTTTGGAAAAGTAGAAAATTAGAAACAAGCTAAATGTCAATCAATAGGAGGATAACAGGTGTGGATTCTATATGGCACTGAAAATAACCACATCAACATGGAGATCATTTGAAAAAGAATGCAGGTTAAAAAAGGAAACTGTTGTAGGGTACATGCACCATGATGCTATTTTGATGAAGTTTAAAAACATGAGATACAACACCATAAATTATGAATGGTCACATACATATGAGTAATAAAAAACAAAAATATAAATGAAAATACTAAACACCAAATTTAAAATAGAGGTTATCTCTGAGGAAGGAGGAAAATGGGTTTGGAGGATATGGAGAGCTTCAAATTTCTCTGTAATGTTTTCTTTCTTTTTTTTAAAAAAAGATCTGGGCGAGGTACAGTGGCTCATGCCTGTAATCCCAGCACTTTGGGAGGCCGAGGTGGGCGGATCACGAAGTCAGGAGATCGAGACCATCCTGGCTAACACGATGAAACCCTGTCTCTACTAAAAATAAATTAGCTGGGTGTGGTGGCGGGTGCCTGTAGTCCCAGCTACCTGGGAGGCTGAGGCAGGAGAATGACATGAACCCAGGAGGCGGAGCTTGCAGTGAACGAAGATCGGGCCACTGCACTCCAGCCTGGGCGACAGAGCAAGACTCCGTCTCCAAAAAAAAAAAAAAAAAACAAAAAGGTCTGAAGCAAATCCAGCAAAATGTTAAAAAGCCAATAAAGTCTTTTCTATATGCTTGATATATTTCATAATAAGAAATTATATATTACTTGCTAGTTCAAAAAAGGATAACTCAGACATTCCAGAGGAAGACAAATTAAATGAATACTGAATATTACACATCATTGAAAAAAATCAAGTAATTTAAATAGCATAACTTGATAAACAGGGCTTTTTTCCTTTGCATACTATTCTAGACAATTTCCTATGCATAAATAAGAAAAATAATAAACACACACAAAATCAAATCTATTCTTACAAAACTGAGATCATTATATATACTGCTATGTAACTTGCTTTTCTCATTCAATATGAACCTCTTTCCACATCGATTCCACTTATTATGACTACCTATTTAATATGAAATAGATCTTTCCTGGCTGGGTACAGTGGCTCACTCCTGTAATCCCAGTCCTTTGGGAGGCTGAGGCAGGTGGATCACCTGAGATCAGGAATTCAAGACCAGCCTGGCCAACATGGTGAAACCCCATCTCTACTAAAAATACAAAAAAGAATTAGCAGGGCATGGTGGCGTGTGCCTGTAATCCCAGCTACTTGGGAGGCTAAGGCAGGAGAATCACTTGAACCCAGGAGGCGGAGGTTCCAGTGAGCTCAGATTGTGCCATTGCGCTCCAGCTTGAGCAACAGAGTGAGATTAAGTCTCAAAAAATATAAAAATAAATAAAATAAAATAGATCTTTCCAGATCTATTTCACTTATTATGACTACCACACAGAATCCCATAGTAAGTACATACCATAATAAACTTAATCATTTCACTACTAATGGATGTTTTGGTGTTTTGGCCATCTCTCTTTTTTTTTTTTTTTTTTTTTGCCATCACAAATAACGCTGCCATGATACTCTATGATACTCTCCTACAAAAATCCTAGTATACTTGGTACAAGTGTTTTTTCTGGGAGAATTCCTATATGAGGAACTGTTAGGTCAAAGGTTACATGCATTTAAATTCTGTCACCTGCATTTATCTATTCATACTCCTACCAAGAATCTTCAAGAGTTCTCCTCTGTACACCCTTGCCAAAACTGAATATTATCAATCTCCTACATTTTTTGCAAGTTGGCTGGGCATAAAATGAACATTTCCAAAATCGAAAGTAATTTAAAACTGGAACAAGTGGAAAATGCCAACTTTCATAAAGTTCTTCAATAAACGTTGATTATGTGTAGCAGGTAATTGGGATGCAAAGGCTGAAAATAAACTGAGGACTTACAATCTAATGAAATATATAGACAAATAAGCAGATTCTATGAAGATGATTATAACAGTGTGAAAAGTGCTTTAAAAGAGGTATTCAGTGTGATATAGCGGGCCATGAAGAGACACATCAAACCACTCGGAGAATCAGAAAAAGTAGTGATACCTGAGCTAATTAAAGGATATACAGAGGTTGGTAAGGGAAAGCTGGGAGGATGGGGAGAAGAGGAGATAAAGGAAACTAGAATCGCAGATTCAAAAACATAAAACTAAGAAAATATAGTGTATTAGGCAACTGCAAATAGTTTAACACTGTCATAGTGCTGCCTGTGAGTGGAAGACATAAATAAGAGTCTCAGACCAAAGACATAACTGTAAAAGCTTTCAAAACATTACTCTGTAAGAAAAAACTTTCATGTGTTATAAGTCATCTTTGTATTAGAAGTTGCTTCTCGAATACAGACAGCAGACAGTTCTCTGGCACTCAAATGCAGTAATGGGTTCCATGGCAGAACTGAAGTAGGAAGGAGTGTGACCAATATTTCAGGTTTAGGTAAACAAAAGTTCTAGTCAGCTAAAACCAAAAAAAGCAGAGCACACAAATACTATGGAAGTAGATCCACAGGCAGCCAGGATCCCAAGAAAGGCAGACTGGAGTTAGAGGGAGTATGAGAGTTGGAAGACTAAGAGGTCTTCCCATGTGCTTCTGTGTATGGTGGCACTCTCCAGGGCCTGGAACTGAGATGTCACTGAATGAATACCAGGACAGAAAGCTCGCTGCCCTGTTTAGACAGCCCATTGTATCGCTACACCGGACACATCACAGTTCCAAAGCTGTCACAAGTGCTACCACAGGTCAAAATAGGAGGAGAGCCAGCAGTCCACTGACATCACACATGGTACAGACACACTAAAAGCAGCAACAAAAGACTATCACAACTATTATTTAGCACTGCTCTAAAACAGTGTTTTCCAAAGTTTTCTCAAGATAAAAAATGTCCAGGGCCTTTGTTTAAAAAATAAAACAAAGCAGATTCCTCAGCCTCAACCCAGACCTACTAATATTCCCAAGGGTGAAGGCCTGGGACTTTGTATATTTAACAAACAGCCCAGGTGATTCTTTCCAGGGAATTCTGGGAAGCACTGCTTCCCCACAAATTAGAAGTTCTTACTAACACAAAGAGGTAAAAAATTGAGACAGGGGTAAAACTATCAGAAAGTGATTCAGTTGCTGCTTCCTACAGATGATGTAATTATCTACTTGGAAGTCCAAGAAAAGGAACTGAAAAATTATTAGAACCACATATTGACAGAAGAACCAGTGAGACTTCAAGACAGAAATGTCCATGAGATCTCTGAATGTAGGAGTCTTAACCTAAACAAGAAGAACGAGCTGGAACTAAGAACTGCAGAAATTTATTAGCGTCTGGGGTGGAGTGAGGGGCATGTAAAAGCCGGAACTGTGAGAAAACATTCAGAAAGAAGGTGTGCAAGAGAATGCCGGGGAGCACAGGATCTGGCTCATCAAAGGCGATCCAAAGGCTTAATGAGTAATTAACATGCACATTTCATAGCTAGACATTTCGTAGTCACTAAATGAAGATATACAACATATAACACACATGGATTAAATTTATTTAGAGAAAGAGTTCAACCCTAAATCTGTACCTGTAGATCTCAGAAAGCATGAGGTATTCAGGCAATAATCACTGATAAATTTGAGTTAATGCAGAAACAGATAAGCAATTCACACTACTGGGTCACAGAGAACACAGTGATCTTCCCACACATGGAAGCAGAAGATGCACTCTCCAGTGCAGCTCTGGTGGCCATCTGCAAGAACAAAAAAAAGATCTAAAGTTGACAAAAGGGCTGTGGCTAAGTGATGACTGCCACAGGAAATTGCTCATTTGAAGAACTGCTTGGTTTAAGCTAAGTCATACACTTCTTTGTAATGGAAAAACCTCCTTGTCATCGCTCTAAGAATAATCAGGCTACAGTTGAAAAAATGCCTTATTGTTTCATAAACTACACACCAATTCTTTATTTGATCGCATCCATCTTTTTAAACAGCTGGGTCCATTTTGAATGTTCTCGTTTTAAACTTAGCATTTTTGCAGCTGTAAGTGGTTTTATGAATAAATCGTGCATGCAAACAACACAGTAGAATTGGGCAACGTTCAGATGATTGAAAGGAGCAATATCTAAAACATCCCAAGCAACCTACTGAAAATGCGGATAAAGGTTATCAGGATATCCCAGACTATTCCCCCTAACCCTTGGGGGGCTCTAGAAAGTCCAGAATTTCAAAGGGAGGCCTCTGGTCAACGAAGCAGTCACTTTAGCTCTAAGTCAGCTGTCGAATGGGAGAGTTTCAGAGCACTTCTCCCCAGGCCTCCATAACACCATCAACAAGAGTAAAAAGATGAACCCAGAGCCCTGCATGTTCCTGGCAACCAACACCCTCTCAACTAACACATTGCCACAGTGCCATGATCTGCCTATCTGGGGTTAATTCCAGCACGACCTTTATATCAGGTTATACTTTTTAAAAATAAGAAATCCAAGACTCTCACCTGGTTTTTATTCCTGTGAGGCTCAGTACATCCCCTCACGCGACCCCAATCCTCAACTCTCAAAACCCTTCTCCTTGTCTTCATAGTCCAGCATCGGCAAAATCCCTCCTCTGTCCGAGGCTTACGCATCAACCTCTTCTCTGAATGTTGCTTTCACCTACGGCTCTAGGAGGAAACCTGGCATTCCCTGAAGGCTCAGCTTCCCTGCAGCCATTTCAAGTGGCAGCTGCTTTCTTTCTCACACCCCTCAAACAACTAGACCTCCAGGTGGAGGAGAAGTCCTCCTAGAACCACACTGCCACTCTCAGATCATTTTCCCTTTTCCTTAAAACTCCGATTTTGAATGTCGTATAATCAGACCAAAACCCAAGTTGTCCCTCCTTCGCGGAGTCCAACATTACTACTGTCATAATTCTTGTTGATTTCAACATTTACAGTTGATCTTTCCAATGCACTGATCGTAGTGGGATGAATGACGGCCCCCCAAAAGATATGTCCACATCCTAATCTCTGGAACCTGCATTACCTTATATGGCAGAAGAGTGAATATTACCTTCTATGACAAAATTAACTTAAGAATCTAGATGGGAGAGGAAGCATTTACCCTGGATTACCTGGTTGGGCCCAAAATGCAATCAAATGTATTTTCATATAAGACAGATACACAGAGGAGAAGAGACAGATGAGAAGAAGGCAATGTAACCCAGGAGGCAGAGACTGAAGTGACACAGCCACAAAGTCAAAGAACGCCAACTGCAGCTAGAAGCTGGAAGAGGGAAAGAACAGTGTGATGTTCAATGTACGTGTCAAGGGGCCGGGCGTGGTGGGTGGCTCACGCCTGTAATCCCAACACTTTGAGAGGCCAAGGCGGGTGGATCACCTGAGGCCAGGAGTTCAAGACCAGCCTGGCCAACACGGCGAAACCCCATGTCTACTAAAAATACAAAAATTAGCTAGGCATGTTGGCGCATGCCTGTAATCCCAGCTACTCGGGAGGCTGAGGCAAGAGAATAGCTTGAACCTGGGAGGTTGCGGTGAGCTGAGATTGTGCCTCTGCACTCCAGCCTGGGTGACAAAGTGAGACTCCGTCTCAAAGAAATAATAAAATAAAATAAATTTTATGTGTCAATTTGACTGGGCTATGAGAAGCTCAGATATTTGGTGAAATGCTCTTCTGGGTGTTCCTTTTAGGGTGTTTTGCATGAGATTAACATTTATATTGGTAGACTGTGTAAAAGAGATGGCCTTCCCTAGTGTGGATGACCCTCACCCAATCATTTGAAGGCCTGAATACAACAAAAAGGCTGACCCAGCCCTGAATAAGAAAAAAGTCCTCTTGTCTTCAAACGTCTGCCTTTGGACCCAAACTGAAAGATCAACTCTTTCTAGGTCTGGAGCCTGCTGGAACTACCCACCATTGGTTCTCCTGGTTCTCAGGCCTTCAGACCAGGATTGGACCTATATCATCAGTTCTCCTGGGTCTCCAACTTGCCAACTCACCCCGCAGATCTTGGGACTTGTCATCCTCCATAACTGCATAAGCCATTTCCTTACAATAAATCTCACAGACATGCGCGTGCCCACCCTATTGAGTCTGTTTCTCTAGAGAATCCTAATACAAAGAGATACTTTCCTAGAGCTTGCAGAGAGAGTGTGGCTCTGCTGACACTTCGATTTCAAACTTGTGTCCAGCACTGTGAGAGGGTTTAGGACCCCAGGTTGGTGGTAGTTTGTTATGGCCTCCACAGGAAGCTAATATATCTGTTAATACATATGTCCTCTCTGAATTCTTCTTCAGCAACTGTTCTCCCACCCTATGTTGGCTGCCATTTCTAGTCACCTCCTACCTACAACATTTTATTGCCAGTTACTGTACATTACCTGAAATCTCAGTTTCAAGCACCTACTCTCACCAACTTCTGTCTTTCTAGCACATTCCTTCTAGTAGTCTGCCTAGAAAAATACTTCAACCCACTGAACCTATACTACATTGAGCCTACCATCTTTATCTTGTCTCCCTCACGGCCTAATTTCTCTCTTGAACCAAGCTCCATGTCTACATTTGATATTATATTTTCTTTGCACACACTCAACACCCCCCTCCTTGCCACTTCTCTTCCTTCGTCATACTTTTCTATCAAAACCCAACCCTATCCACTCTCTGCCTTCACCCACACAATGTGTGGTGGGAGTGAAATACACAGCTATGCTGACTGGTCTGAAGCTGAATTCACAACTACCAACCTCAAGTTAGTCATTCCAATGTCAGTTTAAATGTCACTACCTCAGAAAGGCTTTCCCTAGCCATCCAATTTAAAATACAAAATAATAGCTTTATTGAGTGATATGGTTTGGATGTGGGTCCCCTCCAAATCTCATGTTGAAATGTGATTCCCAGTGTTAGAGGTGGGGCGTGGTGGGAGGTGACTGCATTATGGGGGCGGATCCCTCAAGAATGGTTTAGTGCCATTCCCTTGGTGATGAGTGAGTTCTCAGTCCACAGGAGAGCTGGCTGTTTAAAGGAGCTGGCTCCTCCTCCTCTCCCCCTCTTGCCCCTGCTCTCGTCCTGTGATCTGCCTGCTTCTGCTATGCCTTCCACCATGATTGTAAACTTCCTGAGGCCCTCACCAGATGCTGAGCAGACATTGGTGCCATGCTTGCACAGCCTGCAGAACCATGAACCAATTAAATTTGTTTTCTTTATAAATTACCCAGTCTCAGGTATTCCTTTATAGTAATGCAAAAAAAGAATACATTGAGATACTATTCATATGCCATAAAATTCACCCACTGTAAAATTCAGTGGTTTTTAATATATTCAAAGAGTTGTACAACCATAACTAATATCTAATTTCAGCACATTTTCATCACTCTAAAAAAGAAACCCAATACTCAGCAGCCACTTCCCATTCCTCCCTCTCCCCAGCCCCCGGAAACTACTAATGTACATTCTGTTCATTTGCCTATTCTGTATATTTCATTCTGTCTCTATGCATTTGCCCATTCTGTACATATCACATAAATGGAGTAACACAATATGTGACATTTTGTGTCTGACTTTTTCACTTAGCATGTTTTCAATGTTCACCTATGTTTTAGTGTGTATCAGTACCTCATTTCTTTTGCTTACCTAATAGTACTCCATTGTATTGATAAACTACACTTTGTCCAGTCACCAGTTGATGGACATTTGGGTTATTTCCACTTTTTAGCTCTTTGGAATAATGTTGCCATGACCATTCACATACAAGTTTTTGTGGAGACATGTATTTTCAGTTCTCAAGGGTGTATACCTAGGAGCAGATTGTTGGATCACATGGTGAGTCTATGTTTAACATTCTAAGAAACTGTTAAACTGTTTTCCAATGTGGCTATACCATTTTATATTCCCACCAACGAAGTATAAGGGTTCTGATTTTTCTACATCCTTGTCAACACTGTTATGGTCAGTCTTTTTTATTTAGCTGTCCTACTGGGTACGAAATAGCACCTCACTGTGTTTTTGATTTGTGTTTCCCTCATGATTATGTTAAACATCTTTTCATGTGCATCTCAACCATTGGTATATCTTCTTTGGAGAAACACCCATTCAGATCCTTTCCCCATTTTTTCCCCCAATTTACTTTTTTTTCTTTTTTTTGAGATGGAGTCTCACTCTGTCACCCACGCTGCAGTGCAGTGGCACAATCTCAGCTCACTGCAACCTCCACCTCCCAGGCTCAAGTGATCCTCCTGCGGCCTCCAGAGTAGCTGGGATTACAGGCACCCACCACCACACCTGGCTAATTTTTGTATTTTGTGTAGAGATGGGGTTTCACTGTGTTGGGCAGGCTGGTCTCAAACTCCTGGAGTCAAGCAATCCATCTGCCTCAGCCTCCCGAAGTGCTGGGATTACAGGCATGAGCCACCATGCCCAGCCTAATCTACATATTTCACTGGTAAAATCACACAACATAAAATTTACCACCTTAACCATTTTTAAGTGTATAGTACAGTAGTAGTGTTAAGTATGTTCACGTTGCCATAACTTTTTCATCGTGCAAATCTGAAACTCTATACTGATGAAACAATAATTTCCCATTTTCTCCTCCCAACTGATAACGACCATTCTATTTTGCCCTTTACCCATTTTAAAACTGGGTTAGTTGGGGTGTTGTTTTTGTTGTTGCTGAGTTTTAAGAGTTCTTTATAATTCTGGATACAAGTCCCTTATCAGATACATGATTTGTAAATATTTTCTACTCAGTGGGTTATCTTTTTACTTTCTTGATGGCACCCTTTGAAGCACCAAAATCTTTAATTTTGTTGAAGTCCAATTTGTCTATTTTTCTTTTGTTGCTTGAGCTTTTGGTAGTATATTTAAGAAGGCACTAACTCAAGGTCATAAAGACTTACATCTAATCTCTTTTTCTAAGAGTTTTATAGTTGTAGCTCTTACATTAAGGGGTCTATAATCCATTTTGAATTCGTGTTTCATATGGTATAAGGCAGGGATCCAAATTCATTCTTTTGCCTGTGAATATCCAGTTGTTGTCTCAGCACCATATTTTGAAAAGACTATTCTTTCCTCCATTGGATGGTCATCACCCTCATTGAAAAATCGACAACAACAAATACAAGGGTTTATTTCTGGAGTCTCAATTCTATCTTCATGCCAGTATCACCGTCTTGATTACTATTGCTTTGAAGTAAGTCTTAAAATCAGGAAGTGTGAGTCTTCCAAATTTGCTATTCTTTTTTTTTCTTTTTTCTTTTTTTGAGACGGAGTCTCACTCTGTCGCCCAGGCTGCAGGCTGGAGTGCAGTGGTGCGTGCGATCTCAGCTTACTGCAAGCTCCGCCTCCCAGGTTCACGCCATTCTCCTACCTCAGCCTCCTGAGTAGCTGGGACTACAGGCACCTGCTACCACGCCCGGCTAATTTTTTGTATTTTTAGTAGAGATGGGGTTTCACCGTGTTAGCCAGGATGGTCTCGATCTCCTGACCTTGTGATCCACCTGCCTCAGCCTCCAAATTTGCTTCTCTTTTTGAAGACTGCTTTGACCATTTTGGATCTCTTGTATTTCTATATGAATTTTAGGATCAGTTTATGGGGTTATGCAGAAAAGCAGTTGAGATTTTCATAGAGACTGCACTGAATCTGTAGATGAATTGGGGAGTACTGTCATTTTAAATGTTAAGTCTTCTAACCCATGAACACAGCATGTCTATTTCCTTAGGTCTTAATTTCTTCTTTTTGTTATTTTTTTTGAGATGGAGTCTCTCTCTGTCACCCACGATGGAGCACAGTGGTGCGATCTTGGCTAACTGCAACCTCCACCTTCCAGGTTCAAGCAGTTCTCCTGCCTCAGCCTCCCAAGTAGCTGGGACTACAGGCACGCGCCACCACACCTGGCTAATTTTTTTTTTTTGTATTTTTAATAGAGATGGGGTTTCACCATGTTGGCCAGGCTGGTTTCAAACTCCTGACCTCAAGTGACCCACCCACCTGAGCCTCCCAAAGTGCTGGGATTATGGGCATGAGCCACCACACTCGGCCTATTTCTTTCAGCCATGTTTTCCACTTTTTAGTGCACAAGTTTAGTACTTCTTTGATTAAATATAATCCTATTTTGTTCTTTTTGATGCTACTGTAAATGAACCTGTTTTCTTAATTTCATTTTCAGATTGTTCATTGTCAATATAGAGAAATATAACTAATTTTTGCATTTTTTGAAGTAGGTTGGTACAAAAGTAATTGCAGTTTTTGCCATTAAAAGTAACGGGGAAACCACAATTACTTTTGCACCAATCTAATATTTTTGTATTGATTTTGTATCTTATAAACTTGGTAAATTTATTATCTATAATGGTTTTTTGTGTGTGTTAGGATTTTCTATATACAAGATCATGTCATCTGTGAAGAGAGGTAGTTTTACTTCTTCCTTTTCAATATGGATGCATTTTGCTTGCTTTCTTGCTTAAGTACCCTGGCTAGGACCTTCAGTACAATGTTGAATAAAAATGGCAGGAGTGGATATCCTTGTCTTTTTCCTGGTTTTAGGGGAAAAGCTTTCAGTCTTTCACTATTAAGTATGATGTTAACTGTGGGTTTTTCTTTCTTAAGAGACAGGGTCTCACTCTGTCACCCAGGCTGGAGTGCCAGTGATGCAATCATAACTTACTGCAGCCTCAACCTCCCAGGCTCAAGTGATCCTCCCACCTCAGCCTCCTGAGTAGGCAGGACTACAAGTGTACACCACCAAGCCCAGCTATTTTTTTTTCATTATTGTTATTATTTTGGTAGAGATAGCGTTTCACTATGTTGCTCAGGCTGGTCTCGAATTCCTGGCTTCAAGTGATTCTCCCTCCTGAGTCTCTCGAAGGGATTAAAGGTGTGAGCCACTCTGACTGACCACTGTGGGTTTTTCATAGATGTCCTTTTTCAGGTTGAGAAAGTTCTCTTCTATTCCCAGTTTATTGCATTTTTTTTTTATCGTGACAGAATTTTGGGTTTTGTCAAATTCCTTTTTCATATTTATTGAGATGATCTTATTTTTCATCCTTTAGTCTGTTAACAAGGTATATTATACTGATTTTTGCATGCAAACCAACTTTTGCATTTCAGGGGTAATTCTCACTTGCTCATGTTGTATAGTCCTTTGTATGTTCTTCCAAATTTGGTTTGCTAATATTACTTTTTTTAAAAAAACTAAGAGATTCAAGACGTAATAGTCTAGAAGTAGCTAATTGGAAAACAGGTAGAAAAATAATCAGGGTGACTAGTGTAGGCAGAATTCTGTTTACCTTCAGCGAACCCTGTCCTTGTATGATCTCTTCCCCTTTGAGTGTGGGTGGAAGCTATAAATATGATAAGCTATCATTCCTTCGATTACATTATGTTATAAGGCAAAAGGGAGATTACACTGGGTGGGCCTGGTCTAATCACATGAACCCCGTAAAAGCCATATTTCTCTGGCTGGTTGCAGGAAAGAAAATCAGAGAGATGCATTCTAGCTGGCCGAGAAGAAAGCAAATGTTCGTGTTGCAAACTGCCTATGGGGGGCCACATGAAAAGAAACTGTAGGCAGCCTCTGGGAGCTGAGACTCATCCTCAGCTGGCCGCCAGCAGGAAAATGGGGACCTCAGCACCACAGGTGCAACTAAACAAATTGTGCGAACAGGGAGCCAGCAGGAGGCCCTCTAAGCCCTAGGTGATAACTACAGCCTCAACTGACACTTCGATTTCAGCTCAGTGACACCTGGAGTAGACAGCCTGGACTTCTGACTTACAAAAACGGAGACAATAAGTTTCCACTATTTTAAGCAGTTAAATTTGTAGTAATTTTTTAATGCAAAAACAAAGTTAAAACAGTAAGCACAAGTCCTGGTTTGTCCAAGATAATCACAGTTTATGCATGTTGTCCCTGCATAATTAATAGTGTCTCCTTTCACACTCAAGTGGGTCTGGTTTTGATGATAAATTACATGGTCACCCTAATAGTCAATCCCTAATAGTCAACAGTCACCCTAATAGTCAATCCCTAATAGTCGATAGTCAATTGACCCTAATAGTCAATGCATGGGATGTGAGAGAATAAATAACCACCTGAAAGGGTTGCAGGGAAGTGGCGTTCTTCCAGGACAGCCAAATTTCAATGGAGACAGGGGGTGGAAGAAATGTGCAGAGAAGCAGTTGAAAGTGAAGGCAGCTTGCTGGCCAAGGACCAGCGGTGCTAAAGGGAAGTGAGCTGTGGAGGACTGACTTATGAGAAAGCTGGGCTGAGGCAGGAAGTACAGACCATGATAAAATGCTGGTGTCACCCAAGACAAGAGGTCAGACAGCTTAAACAAGGACACTGACTGATAGAAGCAGAGACAGGGGGCATGGCAGACCCAGCCTCAGCAGTTTCTTTGAGAAGAGGTGGCCATTGGGTTAAAGGACTTGATTTTGTATATTCTGTTTTTAATTTCTCCATGTGTATGTCTTAGCTCTTGCTTGCCACAAGTGGGGATATTGTCTTATAAGTTAAAAAAAAATTGTCTAGTTTTGTACTTTGCACAAAGTTAATTGTTTAATTATGACACGTGGCTATTTAAAACTGGTCAGGAGCATGCTCAGTAAGCACACCTTTTTCCCATGAATACATATTATCTTTCATAATTCAAGAGATGTGAGGAGAGGGACACCAGTCACATGGAAATTGAACACTGCTTCTGACCAAGATAAGTCAACAATCTCAATTGATCCAGGTCTGTCACGAGAAAATTTGCTCTGACTCCCTGAATGGCTTACTTTTGCTATCACTAATGCCCAAACAACTATGCTGCACATATATAAGCTGTCCATCAACATTTTTTTAAGTAAAGCAATATTTATTTAACAGAGATTGTTAAAGAAATCCAAAATACTTCCTCATTTATAGAAGATTTTGAAGAACACAATAAGTAACTTTGTTCAGAGGTGGACTCTGCCATCTGCTGGGAAGAAAGGTGAAATTTCCATACTATCAACCAGTCAGTTACATAACTACCCTCCATGAAGGCCCTCTACTAACTGTATCTGTGGTACAGGCGTATTTTGTATCAATGGACATACAGAGTGAGAGACTTCCTGCCAAGGAGTAACTAGATGGGAATCAGATCTATCTTGGTAAAGTGAAACCAAGGAAGCAGAGATCTGAATGGAAGGCAGAGAAGGAGGCATATTTGCTATGAGCCTTCCTTGCATATCAAGAAAGGCTGAATGAAGGCTGGGCGCGGTGGCTGACGCCTGTAATCCCAGCACTTTGGGAGGCCACGGTGGGCAGATCATGAGGTCAAGAGATCGAGACCATCCTGGCCAACATGGTGAAACCGCATCTCTACTAAAAACACAAAAATTAGCTGGCATGGTGGTACGCGCCTGTAGTCCCAGCTACTTGGGAGGCTGAAGCAGGAGAATCGCTTGAACCTGGGAAGTAGAGGTTGCAGTGAGCCAAGATCACGCCACTGCACTCCAGCCTGGCGACACAGGGAGACTCCGTCTCAAAAAAAAAAAAAAGAGGAAAAGAAAAGAAAGGTTGAAGAGTTTCAGTTGGGAAAAATGAAAAAGGTCTGGAGATGGATGCTGGTGATGGCCGCACAACAATGTGAATGTCCTTAATGCCACTGAACTATACACTTAAAAATGGTTAAGATGGTAAATGTTATATTACATATATTTTACCACACAATTAATAGGAGCTTGGGAGGGAGGGAAGGAAGTACGCAGGCATGGAGGGAGTTTGGTTTAAAGTGAATCAGAAAAGCACGTATGCCCAGATCAAGGAAAAGGAAGGTTAAGGCTAAAGACCATTTAATAGTGATTTAAAAAAAAACACACACAATTATATACCCAAAATACTTTACTTAAAAAAAACTAACCTATTTAAATATGGTAATAAAAATCCTAGTAAATATTATAGTTAGTTGTTTTAATAAAGTCTTCCTTCAAAAAGTATAATTTAGTAGGAAAACATAATAATCACTATGGTTAAATTAACCACTTATGTGGGAACCCTTGTTCTGATTACAAGGCTTTATCCCATGTGGGACAGAGTGTAATTTCCAAACAGATACTGGGTAGAAGATCACTGCGACAATGTCTCCACCACACAGGCACCTTTGCAATGTGACCCTCCCACAACCATCACCGGCACCATGAGTGGAGTCCCGTTCTCCTCCCCTTCATTCTGGGCTGGCCTCAGTGACTCTTCACATAAGGCAGAACGCAGCAGAAGTGAGGCTGCACTCCTCCCACCGCCTGGGGTGAAAGGCCTGTGCCTCGGCCATGCTCTCCTGGACAACTGCTGTCTGGATGCCTCCTCTAGGGATGCTGTCTCTTAAGACACAGCGGCCAAGAGGTGAGAAGCACAAGCCACATTAAGAGAACACACATAGGTGGCCCCAGTGTCTGTTCCAGCAGATCCCGGCCTTCCCCATCCCAGGGCATTCAGACACAGGAGGGAAGAACCCTCCAGTCACTCAAGCCACATCCTCCAACCCTGGTATTTCAGTCACCCCAGCGAAGGCCCCAGATGGCATGGAGCAGAAAAAAGCCAACCCTCTACCCCATCCAAATCTGCAGGTGTAATCAAATGATTGGTGTTTAATGTCACTAACTTTTGCTGCTTATTATGCAGCAAGAGTCACTGGAACACCACAGTACTGATGGCAAGGTTACTCAAATATTTATCAAGCGTCTCAAAGAAGAAGACTGATATAACCTTGCATGTTTGAATACAAAAATTAATATTTAGTTACTGTCCACTCTCTTATTTCCAGGTAGAGGGACTCTCTGACCCTCACTCACTCCTCTCCTAATCAGACTGGTTGGTTTTAGAGAAGGAAATGAACATGCCTAGATCAACCCCTTCCTCTCCCTTTTTTCTTGGGATCTGCACACTCCGCAGAGAGCACGAATTCTCCTCTCCACCCAGATCCATAAATGTTCAGGATCTGCTCCCTGCTGGAAATGCCAGCAGTTGGGTGGGGGTATATTTGATTCGGGGGCTACTGGCAAGTCCACAGTTTCCCCACAATTAAAACTACTTTCTCAAACAGACTGCCATTTGCCTAACTCCTGGCTGTCATCTTGTGGGGAGGAAAAGTGAAGTGCAACTAATGAGTCTTCTAAAATTCCAATAGGAACTACTATTAGAAATGGTGGCCGGGCGTGGTGGCTCAGACTGTAATCCCAGCACTTTGGAAGGCCGAGGCGGGCAGATCACCTGAGGTCAGGAGTTTGAGACCAGCCTGGCCAACATGGTGAAACCCTGTCTCTACTAAAAATACAAAAATCAGCCGAGCGTGGTGGCGGGCGCCTGTAATCCCAGCTACTCAGGAGGCTGAGGCAGGAGAATCACTTGAACCTGGGAAGGGGAGGTTGCAGTGAGCCGAGATCGTGCCCCTGCATTCCAGCCTAGGCAACAAAGCAAGACTGCATCTGGAAAAAAAAAAAAAAAAAGGAAATGGTGTTGGAGGGCTGGGCTCCATGGCTTATGCCTGTAATCCCAGCACAGGAAGGTAGAGGTGGGCAGATCACTTGTGCTCAGCTCAGGAGTCTGAGACCAGTCTGGGCAAAACTAGCAAAACACTGTCTCTACAAAAATTATCTGGGAATGGTGGCACACGACTGTAGTCCCAGCTACTCAGGAGGGTGAGGTGGGAGGACTGCTTGAGCCCAGGAGGTCAAGGCTGTAGTGATCCATGATCACGCCACTGCACTCCAGATGGACAATAGAGTGGTTTCCTGTCTCAAAAAAAAAAAAAAAAAAAAAAAAAGAAGAAAAAAAAATGGGTTAGAAATAGATATTCATTTATTCATTAGGAGACTTAGCTATTCTAGCTGTCTCCATCTTTCTTAAACCTACTTTAATCGGTTTTTGCCCCCATCACTCCACAGAAACTGTTCTCCAGACAATCTCCACATTGTTAGACAAAGGGTCAGTTCTTATTCCTTACTTGACTGTTGGCAGCATTTGACACAGTTGATCACTTCCTCCTCCTCAAAACACATTCTTCACTTGTTTTCCAGAACACACACTCTCCTGGCTTTCATCCCACCTCACTGGAGGCAGGATCTTCCTCTTCTCCCAGATGTCCTCATATTGAAGAGCTTCAAGGGTCAGTTCTTACTCCTCTTTTTCCTGCTCTATCTTCACTCATTCTCTTCATGGTGTAAGTGGTATCACCCAGTCTCATGGCTATTTTAAATATACGCCATTGACTCCCAGATTTATACTTCTATCTCAGACTTCTCTCTTAAACTCTAGACTCATAATATACAATGACCTCAACAACTCCATATGGACGGATATCTAATAAGCAACTTAAGTTCAACATGTCCGGAACAAACGGTGAATCAAGGTTCATCCTTGATCCTAACATCTAAATGCTCTCCATCCACAGCATTCCCCATCTCAGTCTATGGCAATTCCATCCTTCTATGCTCAGGACAAAATCTTAGACTTTTCCTTGACTCCTCCGCTCTCACAAGCCACATCCAACCCATTAGGCTGATGTATACAACATATTGTAATTCAATCCTTTTTACAACCTTTACTACTGTCCGACCATATCTTGTTTTAATTATCATTAGAATTTCTCCTAAATGGTCTCTCTGCTCCTCTCTTTCTTTTCTACTGTCTACTCTTTACATGGCATCTAGACTGACCATTTAAAAATATAAATCATATCATGTTATTCTTCTATTCAAAACCCTATAAAGACTCCTCATTTCACTCAGAGTAAAAGTCCTTACAATGGTCAATGGGCCCACATTAATGTTTTCACCTTGTCTCCTACAATCCTCCCCTGCTCATTGCATTCTGGCCATGCTGGCTTCTTTCCCTGGATTTACAGGTATACCCCTACCCTGAACACTACCTCTTCTCTTCCCCAGATCTCTGCTGGTAAACTTCTAAGAGTGCTCAAATCTCATTTTCTCAACAAGGCCTATATGACTTCCCTATTCAACCTCCAATCTCCCCAGCCCTAAGTTCCTGACTCCACTTGCTACTCTGCTCATGTTAGAGTCCCATGCAGGTTGGCAGAAGGGCTGTGCTCCATCCATGCAGGTGCCCAGCCTCCTCCATCTGAGGACTTCTGCCTCAGCCAGTTCCTTTGGAGACCATTCTATTTGGTCAATGTATATCGGCAGTGGGGGGTAAAGACAGAGGCACACCTGCTTCAAACTGCCTTGGCTGAGAAGCGATATATATATATATAATATACAACATACCCTCCTTGTGGCCAGATGGGCCTATATGACTAGTTCTCTCCAGTGGAATTTAAGCAAAGGAAACCGTGGATACTACTGAAACTTCAATCTTCAGGTACCTTTTTGTTCCCTTTTCTTATGCACAGAGCACCCTTGCCTCCTCCCACCATGCCACACATGCCCAGGCAGAACACGTGCAGTCCAATTCAGTCGGTGCATCCAGGATCTCTGGATATGGCACAGTCTTCTTCATAAGGATCATACAGAACTCCTTAAGATGCAATCTATGAACTAAAAAGGCAAACTATCTGCACCAGGCCGGGCGCGGTGGCTCACGCCTGTAATCCCAGCACTTTGGGAGGCCGAGGCAGGTGGATCACGAGGTCAGGAGATCAAGACCATCCTAGCTAACACGGTGAAACCCTGTCTCTACTAAAAATACAAAAAATTAGCCAGGCGTGGTGGTGGGCACCTGCAGTCCTAGCAACTCAGGAGGCTGAGGCAGGAGAATGGCGTGAACCCAGGAGGCGGAGCTTGCAGTTAGCCGAGATCGCGCCACTGCACTCCAGCCTGGGCGACAAAGCGAGACTCCATCGCCAAAAAAAAAAAAAAAACTATCTGCACCGTCCCTTCCTGCTCCCAATATACAACGGTGGAGCCGGAGCAGGAGTTTCTTCCTTATCCGATATCCTTCTGGGCCAGGTGGGCTCTGGCATACCCTCCAGAGGGGCTGCACAACCTTCACAACCCATCAACCTACCCTGCCAGACCAAGTTCTCAGAGGTTTTTTGTTTTTTTTTTTTTAAATAGTAGTTTTATAGCTCAAATATTTAAGGGCTTGTTCAGTTCAGGCTCATAATTTCTTTGCCAATGTAATTCCCTCAGAAACTTAGTAGGCCTTTGATCTATTTGTTTCCAGTTGATTCCATGTGCCAGTAACCACACACAAAAAGTTCTTTCCTAAGACTAATGTAGTTCTTTGCCACTTGCTTTCAACTAACAGAAGCCACCTGGAGGCCATATGAACAAGGTCAGTTGCTTCTGGCTTTGGCTGTATGATAGAATCACTTGGGGAACTTTTTTTTTTTGAGATGGAGTTTCACTCTTTTTGCCCAGGCTGGAGTGCAATGGCACGATCTCGGCTCACTGCAACCTCAACCTCCGCCTCCCAGGTTCAAGCGATTCTCCTGCCTCAGCCTCCAAGTAGCTGGGATTACAGGCACCCGCCACCACACCCAGCTAATTTTTTGTAATTTTAGTAGAGACAGGGTTTTACCATGTTGGCCAGGCTGGTCTCAAACTCCTGACCTCAGATATCTGCCCGCCTTGGCCTCCCAAACTGCTCGGATTACAGGAGTGAGCCACCATGCCCGGCCCACTTGGGGAACTTTTAAAAACTGTTTATATCCAGGGTTTCATGTACCTCAGACCAATAAATCAGAATCTCTGCAGGCAGAACCAAAGGGGATTCTGATAATCAGCCAAGAAAAAGAGACCATACCCTTCATCTGATCTTTACCACAGGACTGGGTCACCTTTTTCAACTGAGAAGGTCTACTAGGACTTTGTGGCTTAAAGCCTTTCTCAACTCTTAAGGCTTTCTCTCTAGGGTCTGGAAGCAGTCTGTTTTTCCTTTCACTGCCCCAAGAGTCAGAGCTTTCTCTGTTCCCTTTCATTTATTGCTTGTACACTAGCCAATTCTTTCTAAGCTCATCTCTATCCTATGTCACCTTACCATTAACAGTCTCACATTCTGATCTTTTCCAACACTTGACCTAGAGCCCGGTGGGTGTGAGGCGTGCCTTCCAAATTATCACAGATGACACATTTACCAAATTGGTTACCACTATATAACATGGGTTTCTGACTTTCCCTCTCCAATGTCAGTTTCCTCATCAAGTGTGCCACGTGACTGCTAAGACAATAACACACATCTTAAGATTTTAACAGAACTCTACTTCTAGTACTAAAATTTCAGTGACTTAACGCAAAGTTCTTATCATGCCTCCATCACAGTCAAGTGGGTTGCTGGATATTCTTCTCCATCCATCATTCAAGGACCCAGTTACCTTTCGCTTAATGGTTTCACCCTCCGCGGAGTCCTAATGACGTTCTTTCCACCAAGATAGCAGAGAGGGTACAGAAGGCACCCTGCTATTTATTAACTGTCTTCTTCTGGAAAGACACCTATCATTCTGTTCGCATTCCACTGGCAAGAACTACTCACATGGTTCCATTTAGCTACACGAAGGCTGAAAAGTGTAGTCTAGACATGTGCCAACAAGAATAGGAAAAAAGTAATGCTGACAAGCTCCAGCAGTCTCTTTCACACTCATTAAAACTTAAGCTCCACAGGGCAGGAGTCTTTGTCCGGTTTGTTCATAGATGTATCCCAAATACCTCTTACAGGACCTGGCACACAGTAGGTGTTTAAAAAATAAATTTTGAATGAAAGAATGAACAGACAGGATAAATCTCAGATATGGTACCATACGGCATTTTCTTTGTAATAAAGGCAAACAAAATGGACCAAAGACTAAAAGAATGAATTATACTGCATAGCTACTGAGATAAAACATTCAACAGAAATTTTTGGAAAAATCAAAATAAACTTCCAGGTACTACTTAAAACTCATATGTCACATCTACAATGAAAATTCTTATACTAGCTGGTTAAACACACACTTAAACTCACGTATGAGCATATAGAAACATTTGTTCAAAACGTTAGTATAAACACAGCCGACAATCTCAAAGAAATTACTATTAAATTGATAGCACATCTTTTTGTTAGCTGGAAACCTCTTTACTCAGCCTTACCAGTATGCATCTACCATACACAAGGCATACATCCATCAAAATTCAGAACTAATACGTTTATCACACTAGCTTCAAAATTATGCAGGATAACAATGCTTATTTTTAAAAAAATTTAAGTCTCTTTAACAAAAATAAAGGAATTCATAAAACAAGCTGAAATAAGAATAACAACATATGCAAATAAGACTTAGTTCACAATAGTGCTGTGAGGGTCAAACAGAAATGTAAGAATTCATTTGTGATTTGTATACTTTTCTGTATGTATCTTATAACTCAATGAAAAAATTCAAGAGTAGATGAAAACATGCAAATCATAAAGCAGTATCAGTCACTTGTCTCTAAACAAATACAAAACCCCCATTTTTAAAAGAGTTATAGGTTAGCCAAATGAGGAAATTCAAACCAGGGGGAATAAGAAGTTCCCAATTCTCTTAGCCCCAACATCCGGAATAAGAATTTTCAGTAGAAATATACCAGCAAACTCAGTCATCATGAAAGGTAAAACAGCAAAAACTATCCCAGTGTAAAGAATTAGACTCTACACACACACACACAAAAAAAAAAAACCAGTGGAAAAAACATTAACAATTAACATAGTGAAGTACTTGTACTTTAAGAAAGCAAAAAGAAACAATTTGAAAATCTGTAAATTTTCTTTATTCAATGAAAAAGAAAAGAAACTACTGTGTTTTTTTCCTTTTTTTGGATTTTAAAAGTGGCTCTTCACAACCACCACCACCAAAAAAAATGGAATTCACAACACAACAAGACCCAGGATAGGATATTCAGTTTAACAAAATTTTATCATTAATTATAACAGAAACCTATCTAGGAAAAAAAAAGGATCTTTAACAGATTTTCAGAGATGAAGGAACTAGAGTTAAGTGTAGATGTGGGTTGAAGTTTGTTTTCCTTTTTTCTTTAATTCCTGAAGTGAGTTTATTTGCTTTTTCTTGGTTGAGTTTTAAGACAACCAAAGGGAAAATAAAAACTGGTTATTAAAGCTTTCTAATACTTGAAGGCCAATAGGATAACCAGGCTAAAGAACCTAGATCCTGAATTATACTTCTGACCTTACATGTTTTTCTACTGTTTAGCAAACCACCAACCAACAAACAAAAACTAGAGGAAAGATTTTAAAACAAAGGCTGTAGCAACTTTTTGGAGGGAAAATATGGCATTTTTAGGACTCTGGAAATAAACTGAGAGAAAGGAAGGAAAATAATTGATGATAACCATGTTACATAATTTATAAGAACCACAGAAAAATCAGATATTGACTTCCGCCAAGATATTACTATTTTAAAAACTACTTTTGAAGGTAAAGACACCAATGTGGCAATGGTTGTAAAATACAATGTTTTTTCCAACTTTACAGGCATAAATACTTAACTCCTTTATTTTCTGCAACTTTCCTTGCACATTTAAACCCTATAAAAGTGAGGAAATTTTGCTTGCAAAAAGAACTTTAAGTCTTACTTAGAGCTCAAAAGAATAAGCATGGGGGGGCGGAATCCCCTTGAACAGTTTTGTTTTTTTTTTTTTTTTTTTTTTGAGACAGAGTCTTACTCTGTTGCCCAGGCTGGAGTGCAGTGGCGCAATCTCGGCTCACTGCAAGCTCCACCTCCCGGGTTCACGCCATTCTCCTGCCTCAGCCTCCCGAGTAGCTGGGACTACAGGTGCCTGCCACCACGCCCGGATAATTTTTTTTTGTATTTTTAGTAGAGACGGGGTTTCACTGTGTCAGCCAGGATGATCTCGATCTCCTGACCTCGTGATCCGCCTGCCTCGGCCTCCCAAAGTGCTGGGATTACAGGTGTGAGCCATCGTGCCCAGCCTGTACAGTTTTAAAATAAAAAGAAACTCACTTTTTGCTTTGAAAAGAGAGCACTGCAACATTCCATTTTACTGAATAAAAGAGACCATTTCAAATGTACTATCTTTGTTTCCTGGAATTTTTAAAAATTCTGCTTTTAAAATCAAGTGAGGAAGCACAACATTTTTGCAATCCTGGCATAAATGTTAGTGTTAAGATTTTACTATATCACACCCTTATTTGGTAGGCATCCATGAGGAAACTGGCCCAGGTGCTGTTACTGATCAAACAGATTAACACTCAGGGACACAGATGAAACACAAAGCAGTTACCCAAGAGGAATGCTCCTTCATCTGGTGCTGGTTGCTGTGAGGGCCGCCGGCATGGCCACGCCAAAAGCAATTCTGGCAGAGCTGATAGTTGTGGCACTGCTGGCATCGGTACCGGAAACCCATCATACTCTCACATCGGCAGTAGGAGCACTCCACGGGATGGAAGACTTGTGGACAGGAGAGAAAAGGGGAGAAAAAAGGGCAGGAGGGAAGGGATAGAATAAAAGAAGAAAGAATAAAATTTCACTTGGAGAATGAAGTCAATACAGAGGAATACCAAAACTAATATAAAAACAAAGGTAAAAATAAAAGTAGAGCCGGATGCGGTGGCTTGCCCTTGTAATCCCAGCACTATGGGAGGCTGAGGTGGGCAGATCACTTGAGACCAGGAGTTTGAGACCAGCCTGGACAACATGGCAAAACCCTGTCTCTACTAAAATTACAAAAAAATTGGCTGCGCATGATGGCACATGCCTGTAATCTCAGTTACTCAGGAGGCTGAGGCACAAGAATCATTTGAAACCAGGAAGCAGAGGCTGCAGTGAGTGGAGATCATGCCACTGCATTCCAGCCTGGGCGACAGAGCAAGATTCTGTCTCAAAAACAAAACAAAACAAAACAAAATTAGAACTAAAGAATCTAAATTGTCTGCTAGTCTAACTAGCCATTTACTAGAAAAAAAAAAAAGATTTAATACATCAGAAAAAAAAATTCAACACAGACTAATGATTCTAATCTAATCATTCCAATGTACTATCAAGGGCAATACACAACTGTATGTTACAGATCACTATTTATACTTTTAAATGTTGGTAGCATAATTATTTCCTCTGACAATTCAACTCTGAACACAAGAAAAGGAAGTTAATAGAAAAGAGGGATAGGCCAGGCATGGTGGCTCACGCCTGTAATCCTAGCACTTTGGGAGGCCGAGGCGGGCAGATCACGAGGTCAGGAGTTCGAGACCAGCCTGACCAACATGGAGAAACCCCGTCTCTACTAAAAATATAAAATTAGCTGAGCGTGGTGGCGCATGCCTGTAATCCCAGCTACTTGGGAGGCTGAGGCTGGAGAATCGCTTGAACCTGGGAGGCGGAGGTTGCAGTGAGCCAAGATCGCACCATTGCACTCCAGCCTGGGCAACAAGGGTGAAACTCCATCTCAAAAACAAACAGAAAAAGAAAACGAAAAGAGGGATAGAATATTCAAATCTTCATTGAACAACTCTTTCTAGCATTATATATATAAGACCACAATCTTACTTCAATTATAGGGACTTCTAGACTTGCTTCCAAAAATATATATTAACTAGTGAATCAAGACTCAAAAAAAATTGAGTATGAGGTGATAAAAACAATATAACAAGATTATATAGCATGATCACTAGGGACTAAAAGAAAACTAAACTCAGTAATGAGAAATCCAAAGGATATTACTTCTAAGAAATTCAGTTTTTTGCCATCAAGGTATTTCTATGGAATGCTGGAAATGCTAATTAAGAGCATGTGCTCCAAATTAACTATACAACCTAGTATAGTTCCTCCAGAGAACAGGACTCCCTCAATCTCAGCAAATGTCAATGAGGTCAACATCTGTGCAGCCAATATTTATAATTCTAAGTAATTTAGGTTAATATTAAAAGATATATGTATGTTAGTATTAAATTACCAAATACATTCTGATAATTTTGGTTGAACATATATGTCTATGTGATTCTCCTACCTTCTCTTCCAAACCACTCAAGAGCCAATCCTTAGTCAGTGGAATGGGTGACAGGTGGAAAAGCAGAGAACCAGAATGATGAAAAAATTAACAAGTGTGTTGGGTCAATTATAAATAAGAAAGAGAAGGACTGTTCAGGTTCTGGTATAAGTATTATTTTGGTAAAGTGCATCACTTAGTTACCTTGTTATATACCTACACTTGGATTAGTAAATCAATTTAAAAAGTGCAACTTTTGCTTAAGTGAATATTTCTCCTTATGCATAGTAATGTCAATATAATTCATGATGAACTTCATAGAGCCCAAACCAAAAAAAAACCATAAATACCATAATTTTATAATTTGTTTCTCACCATTAAAATTAAGACATACAGAAAAATATTAGTGTGATAGGTAACATATTTTATTTCTAGATATTTTAATGATTTTATAACATTTCTGTCTCTGATAAAAATATTACAAACCATATACATTAAGAATGTAATCAATAAATTATACACTTTATAAAAGTCACAAAAAAATGTTGATATGCATATGGATAATAATACATCTTGACAAGTGAGGCTCTTTCTACTTGGTATAGCAAATACAAAATGATCTTATGAAAATCAATTGGACATAAAACTACTAAAACACTTAAGGCTATAAAAGCATTGCTCTCCAAAATTTAAATCTATCCAAGAATCCTGTTTTAAAAATTTTGCTGTTTTAGTCTAGAGAGATTCTGGTCCTTTAAGAAATGAATCCTTAATCTGAGGTACTTGTGAACTAAAGCCATAGTTGGGTAAAAGGCTGAGAAAATTTTATTCTGAAGTATGGATAGGAAAGCGAGAAAATAAAAACAGTATGGATGTTTATTTTATTCTTCCGGGGGGATAAAAGTGGACTCTTGGCTCTTCCTCGTTCTCTTTTGAGGAATGAAGAAAGGCAAGAGCCTGGAGAGAGGGAAGGTTACTAGAAACACAATGGCCTTCCCCTTAACAAACTCCAACAACCTAAAGGAGGAGATAAACTGATGGCAAGAACAGGAAAAATTAAGAAGTCACTAAGAGATAAGTACCATTTTAACTCAAAGCAAAACAAAGATTTATGTCAAATTACTGGGAGGGACACCAAGAATAGTTTCAAGGCAAAATGGTGAAGGAAAAAAAATGAGGAAAAAAAAAGGGAACCCACTGTTAAATTATATCTTGGCTATTTTTCTTTAAATCATTCCAAAATAATTATAGTTTTAGCAGTTGATATAGCATATATACAGTTTTTTAGAGATATGAGTTTGATAAATCAAAGAGGAAGCAGGAAGTCATGGCTAAAAATCAGTTGGGCTCAAACAAGAAACAATCATCTGGAATCTTAGGGAGGAAAAGCCTATAGCTGAAGTTGTATGATCTGATATGACTACTATAGTATCCTTTCTTTTTTTTTTTTTTTTTTTTTTTTGAGACAGAGTCTCACTCTGTCACCCAGGCTGGATGCAGTGGTGCGATCTCAACTCATTGCAGCCTCCACCTCCCAGGTTCAAGCAATTCTCCTGCCTCAGCCTCCCAAGTAGCTGGGATTGCAGGCACCCACAACCACGCCCAGCTAATTTTTGTATTTTTAGTAGAAACAGGGTTTTGCCATGTTTGCCAGGCTGGCTGGAACTCCTGATCACAAGTGATCCACCCGCTTCGGCCTCCCAAAGTGCTGGAATTACAGGTGTGAGCCACCATGCCCAGCCTACTTCTTGGTATCCTTTTTAAAGTAATAAGTCTCTGCGAGATCAGCCTGGCCAGCATAGTGAAACCCCATCTCTACTAAAAAGATAAAAATTAACCAGGTGTGGTGGCCGGCACCTGTAATCCCAGCTACTCGGGAGGCTGAGGTGACAGAATTGCTTGAACTCGGAAGGTAGAGGTTGCAGTGAGCCAGGATTGCACCACAGCACTCCAGCCTGGGCAACAGAGTGAGACTCTGTCTCAAAAAAAAAAAAAAGTAATAAGTACCCTCCCTTTTTTAAAAAAAAATTCTTCTGAAAGCCAAAACCACAAAATGAAATGACAGAATGACAGCAAATGTCAACTGTAATTTTCAATGATATTAATAGCTAAGGACATTGCAAATAATCAGTTCCTATACTTTCTATAGCATGCGGAATTGAACAATAAAAGTTCTGCTTACCATTCTCAACATGGGCAAGCCTGTGCATGAGAGGTAGCCAGACAAGGCACTGGGGAGGAGGGTCAGCCATCATTGTGTCTAAAAACATATTTAGCATTATCTTTCTCTGTAAAGAGAAGAAAAACAAACATACTTTAAGTTTTTTAGGAATCTCCAAACTCCAAGTTTAATTTAGGATTTTTCCCATCCAAACTTTAGTGAATTACACGGTAAATTTTATAGCAAAATAAAATATTTTACATTACTACAGACACTACTACATGCTGTACTTTACACTACTACTATTAGTATATTCAAATGTATTCCCATATACATTATTTTATTTTAGTCAACTGTATAAGGTAAACTAGGTTAGACATTACTATATTCACTTTACAGATAAGCAAATAAACCATTTAAAAGTTTTGTAGTGGCCTGGCCCAAATCAGACACAAACCCAAGACTGTCCTTCAAGTCACCATTTCCGCTTTCCAGTGGGGAAGAGAAGACACCCCACACCCAAGTATAAGAGCAGGGACTGTGGCTGGTTGTCTACCATATTTCCAGCTCTCCTAACAGTGCCTGGCACACAAGATGCACTTAAGTAACTATTGAAAAGATAATAATAATAATTTAAAGGGCAAACACCTAGACATCATTTAACAACTTTCTCATTGACAGAAGAGAAAACAGAAGCTTAAAGTAGTTTAAATAATTTGACAACATCATAGAGATAGTTACGATAAGGATGAGATTGGAACCTACATGTCCAAATGCCCATCACAATGCTCCTGTTATACCATCTCCCTAGCTAGACTGCATTTTTCTGTTCTATCTTTATTTCTCTTTTTAACAAATATATAGTAAGCTTCCACTGTATATGAAACACTGAAAGAGTATGTCCCACTTAGACACCAAATTAGAAAGCAGTCTAGAAAGATAAGATAGAAATAGAGTTATATGATATAGAGAGAACAAATTCTCCACAATATTTCAAATTAATGAACTTTCTTTTTATTTTCTCCAGCCCACATGACACCTTTCCAGCTCCAAAGAAAAGGAAAAAGGAGCTGAAAGTCCAGGTCACACAACTCAACAAGATAGTTCCGTGATTGTAACCTGGACATGAAAATCTCACTTCAAATTGTTCCAAAAGAAGAGCCCAGACAACAGGGCACACACTCAGGAGGTGCATGGCCGTCGGCTGCCTCCTCCATGTCCTGATCCCACCATTCAGAGGCAGGGTGGTGGCTGGGGCGAAGCCAAAAGCACACCCAGAATTTCACCTTGGTCTCTCCCAAGTAACTGTTCTCAGTCCCACCACTTTCTTAATGTGAAGAACAGGATATAAAAAATATAGGTGTTTCCCCATAAAATGTTTAAATCATTTATTTCAAGGGGGGAAAAAAGGTAGAAAAGATAAAATTGGTTAGGGCTGACCTAAAGATATTGCTGGCTGATTACAAAATAACTCTGATTTTTACCACTAAAAATATATATATTTAACACAAACCGGAAGCGAGGAGTGAAGACACTGTGATGCTTGGCCTGAAGGACGGAGGCCCCCAGGGATGCCATCAGACCAACCACCGGAACCTCCCAACAAGAGTTCCTGTCTCATAAGGCTCAAGACTAGACAGACTTATTCCTCTGCATCTTTCTAGCGACTGGGAGAATCTTGATTCCAGTATACGTAAATTGGAGGTCATCTTATTGAGAATAATATTTAAAATAAGAAACTGCTTAATGGGGAATAGAAAAGGGAGGTAGAGTAGAAGGCACAGCAGGAAAGAAGCTGTGCAATAAAAATCTGGAAAAGATGAAGAAAGCTGAGGGACAATCTCATCTCCAGAAAGCCTGCAGGCCGGCAGGAAGTAGTTAAGTAATTGGACAGTTCCTCAATTTAACTTCTAATATGGAACTACTGGGGGGCGGGAGGAGCTGAGAACTACGCAAAAGGGCTGACAGAATGATTGGCGGTATGGAGCTGTCATTCAAAGGGCCTCTACACATCATGAGCACTGATGGTGAAGCATGAGAAGTACCTACCCAAATAGGCTAAATAAAGGTTACCCTAAGTGTTTTCCATCTCAGGATCCAAGAATACTATTGTTTGAGACCTTGGTGGGATCTGGGAGGAACCAGTGAATAACATTAAAAACCATAAAGCCACCTAATATTTGAATGCAGGAACAGATATGGAAAATGCCTCTATGGACATGCAAATAACCAACAAACCAAGATAAAGTCAAAAGTGTCTATTCAAAATTATTGAGATTGGCTGGGCGTGGCAACTCACACCTGTAATCCCAGCACTTTGGGAGGCCAAGGCGGGCAGATGGTTTGAGACCAGCCTGGCCAACATAGTGAAACCCCATCTCTACTAAAAATACAAAAATGATCTGGGTGTGGTGGCGGGTGCCTGTAATCCCAGCTACTTGGGAGGCTGAGACAGGATAATGGCTTGAACCCAGGAAGCAAAGGTTGCAGTGAGCCAAGATATCACCACTGCACTCCAGCCTGAGTGATGCAGTGAGATTCCGTCTCAAAAAAAAAAAAAAAAATATATATATATATATATACACACACATACACATGTATATAAAATAAAATTACTGATAGAAGATGCTAGAAAATTTTTAGCTAGTAAAAAGTAGCGAACAAAATTAAATGTATCATATCCTTTGTCATAAATTAAAAGTTTAATATTTCTATAGCTTGTGTTAAAAATTACATTTTTATAATCCACTTATAATTCTAATACTACTTTCTCTAAAAAGTTTTGATTTGCCTACCATGGAGTTTTTGTGTTTTTTTTTTGTTGTTGTTGTTTTTTGAGACAGAGTCTCGCTCTGTTGCCAGGCTGGAGTGCAGTGCAGTGGCGCAACCTTGGCTCACTGCAACCTCCGACTCCCTGGTTCAAGCAATTCTTCTGCCTCAGCCTCCCGAGTAGCTGGGATTACAGGCATGCGCCACCACGCCCAGCTAATTTTTGTATTTTTAGTAAGATGGGATTTCACCATGTTGGCCAGGATGGTCTCGATCTCCTAACCTCATGATCCACCCACCTCAGCCTCCCAAAGTGCTGGGATTACAGGCGTGAACCACTGCACCCAATCATGGAGTTTTTTTTTTTTAATCTTCAAGATGACAAGGTAGAATTAGATTTTGATATCTCTGAAGACCCTCATAAATAAACTTAGGATCAATCTCCAAAAATTGTCCTAAAGTCACACCATATATGACGTTTTCCAAAAACATGAGGAATGAAACTAGCAGAGCCATGTCCAAGCACTCTGTCTTCCACCAACCACGTGATCTGGAGAAAATCACTGAACATCTCTGAGTTTCAGTTTTCTCATCTTTCAAGGGCTAAAATAGCAGTTCTCAGTGTCATCAGGGAACCCCTGGAAGGTATTTAAACATTTTCATGGAGTTTCACGGAGCTTTGGAATATTTCATAATAATACTAAGACATTATTGGTCTTTTTCAATCTAATTCTCTGAAGAGTGTACAGTGGGGTTTTCCAGAGACAATGTGACGAAGCCACAATTATCTAAAAAGGCTACTAAAAGACTCTCCCTTTCCCAACTATATAGCTGTCCGGGGCCAAATTTTCTTCCAAATTTTAACCAAAAGAGCATATCACAACAGATTGAATGGATAAGCAAACATGGGAATCCATGTGTCTTCTATAGAGGCAAATATTAAAGATAAGCAAAAATACAAAACCATGGCACTCTTCTCATTAAATTTTTGTTTTGAAATAGTTATTTGTCATAAAAATGTTATTTATGTTAACATATAATAGGTTCATCATTATTTTTAAGTGACTTAGTTTTCTTTTATTTCTCAATTTTACTTTTTTTTTTTTGAGACAGAGTCTCACTCTTTTGCCCAGCCTGGAGTGCAGTGGCTCGATTTTGACTCACTGCAACCTCCACCTCCCAGGTTCAAGCAATTGTCCTGCCTCAGCCTCCTAAGTATCTGGGACTACAGGCGTGTGCCACCATGGCCAGCTAATTTTTGTATTTTTAGTAGAGACGGGGTTTCACCATGTTGGCCAGGCTGGTGTTGAACTCCTGACCTCACGTGATCCACCTGCCTCGGCCTCCCAGAGTGATGGGATTACAGGCGTGAGCCACCATGCCCAGCCTCAATTTTAACTTCTAATATGGAAATACTGACAGACTTAACCCATATAAATAAAAGCTCTTTGGGGTCCTCAATAATTTTTACAGTATAATGAAGTCCTGAGACCAAAAATTTTGAGACCTGTTAGGAGAGGCTTCCCATCTCTAAAATTCCATGACTCAATAAATAATTTTATGAAAGGCAGGTTGGCTCTTTTTGTCCCCTATCTTTTTATTTTGTTTTTGCTCTTGAGTTGAACACATTCTTTGCATTTCTCCTTATTTTTAAGAGCTTAATATTAATATGAACTATAATAAAATGCAAATCATGCATTCCCACAATTCTCATTTTTCTCTATTTCCCTCCAGATGTATATATATTTCTACATACTTGTGAACAGAATAGATATGAATACATCATCTGTTTTTTCACTTAACGTTCTATTAAACATCTTGTTTTGTACAAATTCTTCATTTCTAATCCTTTTAACAGCTGCCTGATCCACTGAGCGAAACCACCATGATTTATGCCTCCCTCTATAAAACACTGAGACTGCTTTTATCACTGTATGCAGTCTCATATTTTTTCTTAGAAACAAGCGTTTGTTTGTTGCTCTTTGTTATTCTAATCTAGACTGACAACTATTACCCTACATGCCATTCTCACTTCCCTTCCTCCACCCTTGACTACCTCTTCCCATTTTTAAAAGGGGAGAGGAGTAACCCCTTAAAAATGAAAAATCCAGTATCAATAAAATAACATGAGAAAATAAAATAATTTAGCTATAGATCATCATTGCTACAGTCTCCAACTTCATCATTTCCAACAAAAACTCCTATAATGTGCAACATAGAAATATTTACCCATTGCCTTATCATTTAAATGATGTATGACATTTAGTTAACTGTCTTGAAAGGGACACTTCTAAAGTTTTCAGGTTAAAACATTTTTATGCAAACTTCTGAGTATAGTTACAGAGATATTTTATCTGACAAGGGCAAACATACATTAATCAGAGTTACAGAGTTGTTGTAACTGAAAGGGGCAGTCTTTCAATTATTTTCACACTGAATTTCCCCACATCACAGATTTATTTTGGACTTTGAAAATAAGAGTAATTTATAATGACAAAATAATATAATGTTACTCTGCTTTTTCTTAGAGATATTTTTATTTGTTATGGATAAAGGAAAGATTAGAAAAACTTCAAATATTCTGAAATACTATATTTCTCTCATTGCAAAGATTATTTCCTTTGAAAAAATCATGGAATAATATCAGTGAAAACGAGGATGCAAATACATTATGAAGTTTAAGCTTTCATTAGAATTCAAACCAAAATTACTAATTTTCTCATGTCATACTTAACTTAAAATGCTTCATTAAGCACGGGCGGCCAGGTGCGGTGGCTCACACCTATAATCCCAACACTTTGGGAGGCTGAGGCAGGCGGATCACTTGAGGTCAGGAGTTTGAAACCAGCTTGGCCAACATGGTGAAACCCCATCTCACTAAAAATACAAAAATTCGCCAGGTGCGGTGGTGGGCACCTGTAATCCCAGCTACTCGGGAGGCTGAGGCAGGAGAATTGCTTGAACTCAGGAGGTGGAGGTTGCAGTGAGTCGAGATTGCGCCACTGCACTCCAGCCTGGGCGACAGAGCATGACTCTGTCTCCAAAAAAAAAAAAAAAAAAAGTTTAAAAAATCATTCAATTAATCCAGGAAATAGTATCGATCGTTTTCCAGACACTGTCAGTCACTGGGGATGGAAAGCTGAAGGAGAGCAAGGTCCCTCCCTTCAGGGCATAACTGAGCTGTAGGTAACATGTCATGGAAGTAGAGAAGAGGACACAATCCTAAGATGAAAGATTAAAAACATCAAAGAAGAAGGCATATTTTTGCTAGGATGTGGAATCTGAAGCCTTTTTTGGAGGAGAGACAGAAAGTCAGGGGTTACTGGCATTTCAGTGAGAACTAAGAATATAAACAAAGACAAAAAGTTTGACTGCTTTGACTCACTCAAAACAGGTTACTCAAAACAAGAGAAATGCAAATCAAAACTACACTGAGATAACATTTCTCACCCATCAGATTGGCAAAAATTCAAGTGTGGGAACATGTGCTGCTGGCAAGGCTGTGGAGACACAGATGCTCTCGCACAACACTGAGGGGGATGTAAACAGTGCAACCCCATGGCCCTGTGGCAACAGCTAAAAAGATCCCATGGTATGCTAAGGGTAGGAACAGGAGAGGGATGGGGTAGAGCGGGAGCAATCAGGAATGGCGGTGAAAAGGTAGACTGTGGTTCGACTGCTGAGAGCCACAACGTCATGCTAAGCAGCTTATCCAGCAGGCAATGAGGAGTGAGTCGAGTTTTTTATGAAAAATAAGGACATCAACAGAACTGTATTGCAAAATGATGATTTAAACTCAAATTTGCTTATGATTAAAAGGAATAATAAAACCAACATCTGAGAAAGCACACTCCTCTTCCTTAGGCTGCCATTGAGCCACTGAATAAAGTGACGAGAAGACCAGGGTCCTTCGTTTTTTGGGTGATGAATTTTTCTGCTTTACTTGAATACTAGTTAGTCATACATAAAGCAGTAAGGCAGAGGGGACACTGGAAGTCCAGAATGGGACTGCACACTGGACTGTGCCACCAATGAACACCAAGAATGACCTGGACCGACAGCCCCACACCCCACAGGCTGGGGAACTTCTTTCAGCTCATGAATCATCAGTGGGGAAGCGGGGGGAAGGGGTGCTTTCCTAGAGCATGTGGACAGCAAGTACTGCTAACAAAAATCCTTTTCTAAAAAGAAAACAATCTTGAAGCCACTTGTCATTTCTATGTAAGGATTCATTTAGTAAGACACTCTCTCCTTCACAGGCCCAACTAGAATAAAATCTCACTTCTAGGTCTCTACAATTTTGTTCAATCTAAGTATGCTAGTGAGACAGGCCTCATTACTATAGAGACCTGATCATAATAAAACCCATTCTACACCCTGCATTTCATCCCATCTAAGATGCACTTATAAGATCACTTGTAAGACACACCATTATTTTTTTTTCTACCCCTAAGAAAGAAAAGCACTCAGCCAATTTAACTAACTCAATGACTTAATTAAGCATAATCCTTCGTGACATGTGAATTGGTCACACCAGCCTCTTGATGAACTGAAATTCCTTTCATCTATTCAGGGGAACTTGGCAGTTTGGTCTACCTTCAGATGCAATGCTTTAGTGTGACAATAAATTATTTTGGTTATATCTCAGTAATAAAAAAATACAGCTTCATCTATTTGGGGATATCCTCTTTTTTAAAAAGGCTCTATAAAGCCTCCTTAAAAAAAAAAAGGCTCTAAAAAGCACCTGGTTGTTGCTTTGCAAAATAATATGGAATTCCTCCAATGCTGAATATTTGTTTTACTAACATCCAGTGTATTCCCCTCTATTCTGTCCACACCTTTCTGCATTTATAACAACATTGTCTTTAATGCCAAATCACAGTATACTCTCTTCCGAGAACTTTTTTTTTTTTTTTGAGACGGAGTCTCCCTCTATTGCCAGGCTGGAGTGCAGTGGCATGATCTCGGCTCACTGCAACCTCTGACTCCCAGGTTCAAGCGATTCTCTGGCCTCAGCCTCCCAAGTAGCTGGGACTACAGGCGCACGCACCACGCGCAGCTAATTTTTGTATTTTTAGTAGTGACGGGGTTTCACCATGTTGGCCAGGATAGTCTCGATCTCTTGACTCCATAATCCACCTGCTTCGGCCTCCCAAAGTGCTGGGAGTACAGGCGTGAGCCACTGTGCCTGGCCTCTGAGGACATTTTAAATGACAACACATGTAGTGCCAAAAGTGGATACAACTCAGTTGAAGTGACAACAAATGATCAGCTATGATCAAGTTCACACATGTGCAGGAAATGACAGCCCATCATAACCACTGCCTAACCAACTGCAATTGTGAGGTATCATTGGCTATATATCTCAACATCAGAAATATTAAGATATGAAAAAGTGTCTTCAAATCAATGAAACACTACTAATCCACACCAAAGTACACAGTAGCAAAGGGTTGCTAACGGAGATTATAAAATCTCCTTAATTAGAATACCTATGAAATAACAAATATAGATACACCTGCCAGGCAATGCTTGCCAAACTCTATTCAATGTCCAGGAAAACAAAGTCAGAACATCCAAAAGACATCTCACTTCAAAGTGAGGAGAAAAATCATTTCGCTACATAGCTGGAGAGAATATTTTGTCAAATGCAATCGGAGGACACCTCCAGGCATGAAATATTGTTGTTATTCTTAAAATTAACCAGCAATAGTATAATCCCATTTTTATACAATTGCCACTGCCTCCGTGAATCAAGGGAAATGTGGCATGGTGCCCAATAAAGTGTTATCAACAGTATCTCCTGCATACACTGATTGTAAGAGTGTGTCTACTTTCCTATCTGCTCACTTCTCCCTTTCTCTCCATTCTTTGCTTATTCAGGTTTCTTTTTCTTTTCTTTTTTTTTTTTTTTTTTTTTTTTTTTTTTTGAGATGGAGTCTCACTCTGTCGCCCAGGCTGGAGTGCTGTGGTGCCATCTCGGCTCACTGCAACCTCTGCCTCCTGGGTTCAAGCAATTCTCCTATCTCAGCCTCCTGAGTAGCTGGGACTACAGGCGCCCGCCACCACGCCTGGCTAATTTTTGTATTTTTAGTAGAGACGAGGTTTCACCACGTCGGCCAGGCTGTCTTGAACTCCTGACCTCAGGTGATCCACCCACCTCGGCCTGCTGGGATTACAGGCGTGAGCCACCATGCCCAGCCTCAGGTTTCCTTTTCATAAAGATAGGCATCAAATTAAAAATTCCGTGCAAGGTGGGTTGAACTCTTCGAACTAAAGTCAATATTGTTACAGGATTCCTGGGGTGATGCTTTTCCTTTGTGGCCAGTGGCACCTTTGCCGGAGTTTTGCTTGGGCCCACTGGACTCGTTCCACCCACTCGGCCTGGCAGGCTGCACTCGGCTCACGCTACCAGCCTGGATCCCATGCCTACCAAGGGCGAGCCATGTGCAGAGCAGTGAAGCGAGTGTGAAGGAGTGTGGGGTCCGGCCACTATGCACAGCCAGGCATGCCAGCTGCAGTGGGGCAGGCAGCTCCAGGCACCAGCACGGGCCCTGGCTCTCTGTGAGGTTGCACTGGACCAGGCATACTGCAAGCTGCTTCCACAGCTGGCACCAGCAAACACGGTGGCACCCAGAAGCTTGGAGATGCCAGGAACCACAGAGCCCCAAGGAGGGTATTACAGCCCCGGCCTGGGGAGCTCCTACATCTGGGCTCCCCAGAGGGGTACAGCTCTTTTCTCCTTCTTTCTTCTTCTTGTTGCCCACAACATGGCAAGCAAGGGGCATATTTCAGCCCTGTTTACGTTATAGCTCTTTTAGACTTGCCATTTTTTGGGTCCCGAGTTCCTGTCCCGTACCCAGGAAGACTGAGGTATGTGGAAAAGTGGAGGGTAAGCAAGGCAAAGAGGAACTTTATTGAGCAATAGAACAGTTCGGAGGAGACTCGCAATGGGTAGCTCCTCTCCACAGCCAGGGTGTCCTGACAAGTGTTCAGCTCTCAGCATAGAGGAGACTCTGGAGTGGGTAGCTTCTCTCTGCAGCTGATCGTCCTGATGTCTCTTCAGCTCTCAGCAGAGAGAAGACCCTGGCAGGGTAGCTCCTCTCTGCAGCTGGTTGTCCCATCATCTCTTCAGCTCTTAGCAGACAGGAGACTCTGGGGTGGGTAGCTCCTCTCCACAGCTGGTAATCATTTGTTCGAGTTTGGCTGAGTTTAGGGCTTTTGTGGGTCTTAAAGGGGAGGAAGCGCATGCTGACAGGTTCATGGGTGGCCATGGGTAGGCTTGGAAAAAGCACCACAAGTTCCCACTCCAGTCCATGGGACTAGCAGCCCGACCCCCAGGCTTCAGGCCCTCCCTGTCTTGAAGGTGGGGCTTCACCGGGGACCCACGCCCTTCCACCCAGGGGCCTGTCTGCCTCCTACTGCTGTTCATGGCACCCAGGTGTTCGTGCCAAGGGGCACCTGCAGGCCAGTGCCAAGCTGCCCTCAGGCCCGTGGCCTTCCTCCCATGCTCATCAGTGCCCAAAGTCCGGGGGTGCTGAGGTGGCAGGGGGCTGGCATGTCAGTGCTGCCCCGAGCGTGTGCACACCTGGCCAGGCTGCAACAGTGCCCGAGCTCGGCCTCAGCCTCGCTCTGACACTGGAGCAGGTGTTGGGAGCAGGGAGACGCCAGGCAGCGGGAGCAGGGAGATGCCAGGCAGCGGGAGCAGACACCTCCAAGCCTGCAGGGGCAAGGGCAGCCTTCCCAGGCCCCTGACAGTGCAGAGATGCCTGGTCTGCAGCCATGGCTTGACCGGCTGCAGCTGCGCCCAGGGAAGGCGAAGCTCCCACCCTGTCAACTGAGAATAGGGTGGAGCTTCTGCCTGTTCCTGGCTCCCACCAGCTCTATGGAGCATGCAGCCCCAGCCACGCCTCCCCCAGTGCAGCCAGCATCGTGGCAGTGGCTGTTCTAGATGGGACACAGATGCCATTAATATGAAGACCTAATAAATAACAAATAGCATCTCCTTTCTAAGGAGAAATATTGCATTTTCCAAAACTCTAAAGTTTGGAAAATTTGGGGAGAAATTTAAATACATTTACTACTTATTTTAAACAACTTTTAAGCGTCGAAAGTCAGTTAGTTTGTAAACTCTGAAGAATGTTAATATATCTGGGCTACTCACCAAAGTATTAGTCTTGGGGTGCTATAACAATACTCTACTATGTTCAGACAATAATCACAATCACAAATTTGCAAGGACAATTTTTCTATTATTAAAATTCTTAAAAATATATCAAAGTAGAGAGAATAGTATAATATGCCCATCCCGGCCAGGTGCACTGGCTCACACCTGTAATCCCAGCACTTTGGGTGGCTGAGGCAGGAGGATCACCTGAGATCAGGAGGTCGAGATCAGCCTGGCCAACATGGTGAAACCCCATCTCTACTACAAATACAAAAATTAGCCAGGCATGGTGGCAGGCACCTGTAATCCCAGCTACTTGGGAGGCTGAGGCAGGAGAATCGCTTGAACCGGGGAGGCAGAGGTTGCAGTGAGCCAAGATTGCACCAATGTACTCCAGCCTGGGTGATAGAGTGAGACTCCATCTCAAAAAAAAAAAAAAAAAAAAAAAAATATGCCTACCCAGCTTCAACAGTTCTTAACATATGACTAATTTGGTTTCATTTTTGCTTTCGCTTTCCCTCCAGCCTTCATTATTTTGGGGCAAACTCCAGACATACCATCTCTTAAATTAGCTTTTCCCCAATTTTTTTTAATAATGGACATCCAGGATGCTTCTGGTTTGGGGCTAGTATGAATATAGTTGATAAGAGCACTCCTGAAAAGTCTTAAAACCTAGGATTAGGTTTTAATTTAATTGCTAGGTCATGAGGAGGTGTCAGATTAGTTTTATTAAGAAACCACCAGGGCTTCTTGCAGTTTGTAAAGAGTACTGGATACTCCAAATATCTTTACCAGTATTCGAAGTCAGTATTTAATTTTAGCTATCCTAATAGATGGGTTCTGCTGAATTAACTTATAAACGCATCTAATTTCTCTTGTGTTTTAAAAACAACTAAACTACATAATCCACAGACCTTATTTTGGGTTAGTTTCCCAGGCAAAAAAAAAAATGTGTTTTAAAAAAGAATTAAAACTATATTAAAATAAACCAATGTGTAATTCTCTTCATATCATTAAAAAAAAGCATTTCTGCTGTAATGTGTTACATTAAGAAAGAAGCTGAAATTTCTTTACATCAAAATGCTATAATGGAAAGGTGCGCAGAGTACAACACTGTGGACTTAAAAATCATAAGGTATATGAGGAAAACAGAGTTGGAACAACCACTAAGAATCTACATGGCTTTGTAAATAGAGGACAAACGAAATAATCAGCCAAACTAAATCCCTCCAGGTGCATGCACTGGTATCACTGTCGGATGGTGTCTTTCAGCCTTCAATCCTGAGCCACTGATTTCCTTCTTCATGAGACGAGCATACAACTTCCAAAATAGATCGGTTTCATCAAAACTAGATATCGGATCCAGGGGAAAGCTTAATTCTGTCCATCGATCATGTGAGCACAGGAGGCAAAACGTCTTCACAGCCTCTTCACTCAGCTGCAGCTTCATCATCACAGCACTGCAGAAAGTGAAGCAGCTCATGGGTCCTTGAAACCAGTCACTTCTCTCCCTAAAGGAAGGTACTGCAGGATTTTCAGCTTCTTTCTTAAAATAGTCATACTTTCTCTTTAATTGTGATCGCTTTTTTGTTCAGCCCAGAACATCAAAATGCTGGGGGAAAGTGCATATGAAAAAACAATGCAATTTCTAATTTGCATCAACATTGTTTTCTATCTGATGACGTAAGAGCTGATTCTCATTAAGGAAACACATACTGAAGCAAAACAAACCATGAGAAAAGCCCATTTTCAAAAAGAAACGCAAAACTCATTGAATTTAACTCTTGCAGCATGAAACTTTGTCCAAGCTGTCTCACTTCTTGGTCAATATATCAGTATATTCTATGAGTGATTTCTATTTCCCCTGAGGGTTTTTTCTTTTTTAACATTTTCATGGACTGAGATAAACTTCTCTTTTCCAAATTTGACATATACAAAAATGCAGATTGATTTTTTTTTACAGGAATATGAATGAAGCAGGTAAAAAGTAATGATCAGGTTGTGAGTTCAAAGCCCTCACAATTATGTATGTCATAAGGTTAATTTGCAGAATCCTAGATAGCATTCTTAGAATTAACAACTGCACTTTTAAAAATTTCTTCAACATTTTAAACTGTTATTCCAACACCAGATTCTCATCGGAATACTAACGTTGCAATTAAATTAAAGATTAGGTTTATACCCCACATAACTGTCATCCATTTCTCAGTGTTCATCACTGAGAGTTCTTTGTACAAATTCCCTTCCCCATTCCAATACCATTTTGCTTAAGAGTACCATTCCAGAACTTGATCCATTTTTAGCCTGACCTCCAGGAAGCATCTTGTGTGAAAAGCCATGTATACACCATACACAAGATTACCCCAGAGTATTGTGTGGGCCACCATGGAAGGTGATGATACCTCCAAGGCAGCAGCAGGAGCAGCAGTGAGACGGGCTCCAGATAAAAAATGCAGAAGAGCTGTGACTTCATCATACTCATCTTCACTTACGTCCCTGAAGGGCACGTTAACACCTGAAGGACACTCTTGTACCAGGATTATGTTCAGACAACCTCACATCATTTGAAAATGCATATTCGGGGGGGAAAATGTGAACTATGTTTCATTAGAACGAAGCATGGAGATATTTTTAATATGCTAAAAGCTGATGCTGATTGCCATTTATGCTGAAAGAAAAAATAAATAGTGCATAGAGGCAAATCTGCACAAAACCAGTCAGGCAAAGTGTGCACAAATTTGGGAAGAATATCTCCTCAGATGTTACTAAAAATAATTCTCCATTATCATGGGTACCACCTTCAGTGCTAAAGCTGAATAACCTCTAAACAAACTAAATACTATTTGAAAGTCTGAATTCAAATAACCATGAATTCTTAACTTTAAATGTAAAGAAGTATGTAGGTGGGGAGGGGCCATGTGTGCATGTGTTTTTCATTCGTTTTTGAATCAGAGTATCACAGGTCAGGAGAATCTAGTTTACAACATCCTTTCAGTTCTCAAACTTTTAGATGTGTTCCTTTTATAGTTTACCTTTTTATCTTTAAATAATTTTCAGACTTACAAAAAGGTTCTAAGATTACCAAAAAATTCCCATTTTCCCTTAACCAAGATTCCTCAAATGTTAACACTGCAGAAGGATGCTCCTTTATCCTTAAATAGTTCAATTGTTTTAAAAAACAGGACATGCTCTTAAATAATTACGTACAAATATCAAAATCAGGAAGTTAACATTCATTGACATAATACTATGATCCAGTCTATAAACTTTATTCAGATTTTTCCAATTGTCCCAATAACGTCCGTTATAGCAACAGAAAATCCTGGCTTGTGAGTTCATTCAGCTTTTCATGTCTCTTTAAACTCTTTTAACCTAGAACATTTCATCTTTTTTAATCTTTCATATTATTGACACTTTTGAAGTGTAAAGTTCAGTTAGGTTGTAGAAATTCCTTCATTGGAGTTTGTCTGATGTTTCCTTGGGATGAGATTCAGGTTATGCTTTCTTGGCAGGAGTTACCGGAGAAGTGATATTGAGTACTTCTCAATGCGTCCTATCAGGAGGCAGGCGGTATCAGTTTATCCCTTTAGTGGTGATAGGGATTTTGATCACTTGGTAAAGTGATATCTGATCAGTTTCTCCATTGTAAATTTACTATGTTCTTTTTGTAATTAATAAATATCTTATGGGGAGATACTTTTAGAATATGTCAATATCCTGTTTCCATTAATTTTTTACCTATTAGTTTTAGCAAAACGTTTTTTAATTCCTTTACAGAACTTTCTAGGTAAGTTTAACATTAAGCTTCTTTTATCTAATCTCTACGTTAACAAATGGACGCTGCAGCCAGTGTCTATCCTGTGGCTGAGGCATGGACGCTGGCTGTAGCAACCATTTGTTAGGTGTAGACGGTTCTCTGAAGCATGGTTAAGATCTCAGAAACACACTCATTCCAGCCTCTCTGTCAAGACCACCAGAAGGAAATCAAATCCATCTTTTTCTAATATGAAAATGGTAGTGTACCCTTGAGGGATTTTATGCTGGCGAGTGAGAGCTATACAGCGTTCCCTGTCTCCAGCACTCAGGAAACAATGCAGTATTGTTACAGTTTTATATCAAAATTCCCTCATCTCATGGTTTCAAGAACTCATTTGAAAAAGTAATATATGTCCTGTAGCAAAAATGTACACACTTGTTCTTAAACATTTTTCTTTAAAATATTTCATTTTTTTCCAAAGACACCACCCCCCCACCCCCAGTTCCCCCGTAAGAGTTTTCAGGTGAATTTTTACCCCCCGCTTTTATTCATCCACTCCCCACCACCTTTAAAGCTTTTTTCCTCCCCTACTCAAGACCTTACTAGACTGGAAGCAATCTGGCAAAATCTGTTAGAAGGTGAAGGGAGGGAAGAGCGCTCTTCTAGCCCTAGATTCTATAAAACTGTCCTTACCTGCTGTGGAAAACAGGTGCGGACTGAGTGCTCTGTGTAACCAAAAGATGGCCCTTCAAAGACAGCTGTTGGGAGCTTCAGAACTTCCTTCAGAAACTGGTCAAACTTGCTAAATATCATTAAGCCATTGGAATCTGACATCTGGGAGAAAACATCTATGAGAACAAAACCAAATAAAGTCAAGCTATAAGGAAATATCAGCTTTTTATAAATGGCTCTATGTCATTTGTATACCAAACAAAAAGTATCATTAAAAAAGTATCATAAAATTATTGTGACTTTTAGTTAATATTAAAACTATTCTCATCCTTATTAACACTGTGTGGCTACCCTGCAGATGAGGCCCCTCTCTTCCACTCACTTAATATTCTACTTAAACATCAAATAACCATTCATGTGTGACTATCCTACTTTTGAGTGTTTAAAACTAGATGATATATAACTTTTATTTATTTATACCTCACTTTGTTCCAAGAAGAATTTGCAGCAGCATATCTTTATCTCTTAGTATCTCCACATGTGTTTATATAAGACATATGCATGATTGAGTATATAAATACATTAGCATCTTGGTGATAGGGTATGAAAGAAATTGTATTATACTTGTATATTCTATACTGATGATGTAATGCATGCCTGTGAAAGAACACATCTGAAGGAGCCATAGAGCATATTTAAAATATTTATCTAATGAGTTCCAAAGCAGAATAAAAGTAACTCATCTAAAGTCTTCTATTCCAAGACACTTTGATACTGTAAGACCCTATTTTTATATTAAGTCAGGTCAAGCAGATGAGAAAGAATCTTCCAGTAATATTACTCCAACTTTATCTGCTTGCAGGGAGTTCCTGTCTCCAATCATTCCTCTCTTCTCATCCACAGTTGGGGAGTAAAAGAAAACCAGAAGTCAAAAGAATTTAACAAAGAAATGTGACGTAGGCAGTTTTTCAATCTGTTGAACTTCCTTACAAACATTAGTAAGTCAAATATGCACAGAAAAATCATTTCCTGAGGACTTTTCAAACATAGCATTTTGAAGATTCATCCAGCCTGGGCAACATAGTGAGACCTCATCCCTACAAAAGAAATTTAAAAATTAGCCAGGCATAGTGGTGTGCACCTGTACTCCCAGCTACTTGGGAGGCTGGGGTGGGAGGACTGCTTGAGCCCAGGAGGTCAAGACTACAGTGAGCCGTGATGCCATGATCACACCACTGCACTCCAGCCTGGGTGACAGAGTGAGACCTTGTCTCCAAAAAAAAAAAGAAAAGAAAATTCATATTCTATATATTCACAGTGAAGAGGTATAGTAGAGATCTATACCTATTTAACAGACATATGTAATATACATACATGCATTACTTTTTGGATTCAATTTTGGGGAATTTATACTGAAGCATCAGGTCAAAAAAAATTTCTGAATACACTAATTAAAGAAAGATAAAATGTTAGGTTATTGATCCACAGGGCAATTTTTAAGGCATTAGAAAAGAAGAAATTACCAAAGGAATGAAAATCTTCAGTGTGTCCTCTCATGACAGCTGCTAGTTTACAGTTGATGGAAAAGTATTAAATACCCATATGGGGGAAAAAATCCAGCAAGAGACTAAAAGATGACCCTAGTAGAAAGTAAAATAAATTAATTAACAAATACATATTAAGTTCCTATTATGTGGTCCAAGTGCAAGCGCTCTGTTAGGTGTTTAGAACCATAACAGAGAAAGATGACAAATGGTCCTTATCCCCCAAGAAACTTTCAATGTAGCTGGAAAAATAAGATACACATGAAACAGAGAAGAATTTGAGCTGACAACAGAAAAAACAGAGGCAAAAAGATACATGATAAGCCCCACCATGTGCTAGGCGCCACTTCAGTTAACTATGCTGAGCTGCCAGTAGCCACATTATCCTCTTCTTCCTTAGTAACAGAACACTAATTTTATTTTGTGCAGTAATGTACCAACTAACAAGTTGCAAGTTCCCAGCAAGTAGCGGTCATGTGACTAACTTCTAGCTAAAATGAGCTTGTAAGCAGAAGGGTTGTAGGGGACTTCCAGAAGACTAGGTAAACAAACCTAACTGAGCCAAAAAAGCAGGCCACTTGTTCCTTATTCCCTTCCTCCTTCTTCTACCTGGAGTGCAGCTATGATAGCTGGAGCTCCAGCTGCCATCTTGCACTATGTGGTAATCTCAATCTTGATATAGAAATCACTCTAGAATGGTAGGGGAAAAAAAAGACAAAGTGTGAATCCCAGATGAACATGAAGTTACCATACTGGCCCTGGACTACCCACCTCTGGACTTCTTTTATGTGAGAGAAAATTAAACCTCAACTTTGTTTACGATACTGTTATTCCGGGTTTTTGCTCTCATGCAACAAACTCTAACACTAAGCATTACTCTACTATTACAGCTTAGAAAGGTTAACTTGCTTAAGGTCAAAAAGTTCAGAGGCCAAATCAAGTTTAAAACCACACCTATCTGACTCCAAAATAAATACCATTACACCACACTCCTTCAAAATATAATTTAGAATAGATACAAAAACACATAAGCAGGAATTGTCAAGTTCTAAAATAAAGACATTTGGAAGCTAGGCCTTGAAAGAGAGGATCTGGAATGATGGGGTCAAAACAGGTTGAGGATAGGGACTGGGGGGCACTAAAGAAGAGTAGGATAAAAGTCTATGACAGGAGCATGCAGCCTGTATCTCTTACCGGTGATAAGCAGGAAACAGGGTATTGAAGAAAAAATTCTACAACAGCCAATTTATAGTGAGAAAAAAAGAAAAATAAAGACTGAATAGGAAGAGTATTTCTGTTATAAAAGAAAACGATGAAAGAGGGAAGCAATCTGGATTTAGCTTAAAAACTTTTAAGTAGAGATCAAATTTTTAGAAAGCTAGGTTTCAAGGCAATTAGACTGTTAATGACCGGCACACAATGAATAAAAGAAAAAGAATGGAATTGGAGACACCAGCTAGGAAACCTTGTAAACAATGCACAAAGGAGGTTGTGGGGGAGCCTGGATTACAGCAGTGACAGTGTGTGCGGGGACAGGGGAGGCCAAGTCCAAGGCATTTCAATGCAAGGAACTGCAGTTGATGGCAAACTAGATTACGGAATAAAGGAAGTTTAAAAGTTAGGATTATTTTAAGTTTCTAGTTTGGGGAAATGATGACAAATCCTGATTGACATAAGCAAATCAAAGATAAAGATATTACACTTAGCTTTGAACATTACTGTTTGAACTAACTAGCAATTTTTTTTTTTTTTAGACGGGGTCTCACTTTGTTGCCCAGGCTGGAGTGCAGTGGTGTGATCTTGGCTCACTGCAAGCTCCACCTCCTGGGTTCACACCATTCTCCTGCCTCAGCCTCCTGAGTAGCTGGGACTACAGGCGCCCGCCACCATGCCCAGCTAATTTTTTGTATTTTTAGTAGAGACGGGGTTTCACCGTGTTAGCCAGGATGGTCTCAATCTCCTGATCTCGTGATGCACGCCTCGGCTTCCCAAAGTGCTGGGATTACAAGTGTGAGCCACAGTGTCTGGCCCAAACTAGCAAATTTTTAAGTGGAACTACCATGCAGACAGTTAGAAACAATATTTGACCACAGTTCTAGACTGCAGATAGAGAACTTTGAAAATGTTACCAATGATATGAATAAATGATGCTCTTCAAAGGAGGGAAGAACATAAATGATTTAACCTTTAAATAGCTGGCTGCTGGTCAGGCGTGGTGGCTCACACCTGTAATCCCAGAACTTTGGGAGGCCCAGGCAGAGGAGAATCGCTTGAGCCCAGGAGTTCAAGGCCAGCCTGGGCAAGATAGCAGGACCTTGTCTCTACAAAAAATAAAAAAAATTAGCTAGGCATGGTGGCAGGTGCCTGTACTCCCAGCTACTCAGGAGACTGAAGGGGGAGGACCGCTTGAGTGCAGAAGTTGGGGGCTGCAGTGAGCTCTGATCATACCACTACACTCCAGCCTGGGTAACAGAGCAAGACCCTATCTCAAAAATAAATAAATAGCTGCTAGTCTTACAAGGAGGAAAATAATCGTTCATTGAATCTGAATGAAAACAAAGGGTCAACATGGGAGGTGGCAGACACTGCCAGGTGCCTCAGTATCTTCTTCCCCTTCTCGCTCACTAGCTGAGCCCGACTGCTGGGAATGACTATGTGCCACTTAACGAATGACTTCTCAGCCTCCTTTGCACATTGCAATGCTGGAGTAGATGTCTGGAAAACCCTTTGCTTTCTTCATAGAGGCAACTCTTTCTTCCTTCTGCCTGGAGTAAGTACAGAGGCCTGGGATATGGCAAACATCTTTTGATCCTAAGGACGAAGGCCATATGGCAGAAGAAAGACGGGAAGAAGTGAAGTCTGTGAGGACAGCCATAAGTCAGGGTACCAACTTTGAACTTCTCAGCGTTTGGACTTATTTTTACATGAGAAAAATAAATCCCAATCTGCTTAAGCCACTCTCAGTCAAGTTTTCTATCGCCACTCTGTGTATTCATAACTAATTAACTAATGAGTAATTAACCTGTGGCCACTAGTGGTGGAAATATTCAGGACCAGTGACTTTAGCTTTCAAGTACATTAATATATATATGTATAGCTTCACAATCACAAAAATGTGTAGGTATACACCCACACCAACGAATCTATACCTAACTCATTCAGAGTAATAAAAAGGAGTGACTGGATAGTAAAATGACTAACCACTCCCACAAAAAAGTATTATTTCAGTTATACTTAGTTACTACGTCATATGAATAGATTCAAAGTAATACAAAATTTTTTATTCATAAGAAACTATAACAGGCCTATATTACAATAAGAGAAGTGGAAACATGTCTATTTGCTTTAATGAGACATACTGCTAGACCCCAAAACTGAAGGCACAGTGAAATAATTCATTACTTCTTGAGTTATGGGTTTAAAACAATTTTTTTGTGAATAGGCTTTTATCTCTAAGAAAAACAATTTAAAAATGATTGCTAATTCTTAAATCTTAAATGAAGTTTAACAATCAACCTAAGTTATTGTGATTTACCTATGTACATATAAAAGGATCTTATCAAAGAAGTGAATAAAATAATAAAATTTAATGAAAATATTTTAAAAATTAAACTAGTACTCTAATTAAATAAAGCCCTAAACCCTCCTGGTATTAAGGGACTAAATTACTTCCCACATCCCCAGTTAATTTCCCAAGTAATTCTCTTTCTATTTATACACCTCTGAAAGTATGCTAATTCCCTAACAGTTATTTCCAGCTAAAAAGGAAGCTTTCTCCCTTGTGAAAAACCCACAATCAAGCCCTTAAATGTACATGTGTATGCAATTTTTAAAATATTCTATAATATCTTTTGTGTAATAAGCAAAAAAATGCTAGTGAGCCACCATCATCACATATGTCTTGATTTTTTCCTGGTGATAATGACCCTAGTTTTACTGGCTGGATCTATCCATCTATTTCAACTCCCCTTTCATCCCCACATGACTAGCCACCTATTTTTTTTGCAGATGAAAGGGCTGTTTAGACTGAAGAAATGAGTCTATAAACAGAAAGCCATTTTCTTTTACATGTTTGCTTTCCCTGGCAAATGACTCTCATCGCCTGTCATCTTTCTACCAGCTCAGCAACCTAACCCACAAAACCATGCACACACATCTGTATGTTGATAAATACCTAAACACAACTAGGCCCGAGTGCATACTGTAGTTCGAAACTCATTAATATGCCACTGGCGGGGTGCGGTGGCTCATGCCTGTAATTCTAACACTTGGGGAGGCCAAGGCAGGTGGATCACCTGAGGTCAGGAGTTCAAGACCAGCCTGTCCAACATGGGGAAACCCGGCCTCTACTGAAAATACAAAAATTAGTCAGGCATGGTGGCACACGCCTGTAGTCCCAGCTACTTGGGAAGCTGAGGCAGGAGAATCACTTGAACCCGGGAGGTGGAAGCTGCGGTGAGCCGAGATCACACCACTGCACTCCAGCCTGGGCAACAGAGCAAGACTCCATCTCAAAAGAAAAAGAAAAAAGAAAAAAAAAAGAAACTTATTAATATGCCACATCATTAAGCTGCAATGAGGCTGGAGGGTGGGAGTCTGCATGCCTTGGGCTTCTGGTGTTGACTCAGCCAGGAACCACCTGAGACAAGGCTCCAGACCTCCTTTGGTTTTTGTTTTCCTTTTTCTTCTTTTTTTCCCCTTATTCATAAAATACATATTTAAGGCTTATCTTTTACTTCCTTCCATTTCTAAAACATTTTGGTTATCTGAAAAATGTAAATCTAGCCATCACTCATTTAGATTAAACAGTCACTTCCATCTACTGAGGAGAAGGGATGGTTAACAGAAACCAGTGAGGATAATTATGCAGCCATGGGTGGTTAAAAAACTACAGCAGAGGAGTCTAAAATCTGAACAGGTGAAACTGTTTAACTGTAACTTCAAAGGGAGGCCCTTCTACAGTCTGCTAATGAAACATGAAGGAAGCAAACAGTTGAAACATCAGTAGGAATAGTCAATTCTGACCAAAACAGAAAGAATCTCAGGTCATCTTTTCTCTGACTGCTGATAGTGTGGTCTATCAAAAACATGCAAAAAGATAAATAATATAAATTATTATTATAAAACCATTGTGTTAGAACCCAGAGAAAAACCCCTGTTATTATTTTGGTATATTTCTTATTTTCTATGTGCACAGCAAATTTTTGTTTAAAACTACATTACACTTATGCATTTTGATCTAAAACCTATTTTTAAAGGCATTATATTCAATCATGTGGGTGTCCCAAAATTTAACTGAGTTCTCACTTTTGGACACTAAAGATGTTTCCAGTTTTCATATAAGTGTTGCAATATACAAAAAACTTGGGGTACACTTCTGATTAATTCCTTAGGATAAACTCAAGAAGTAGACTGAGTGAATGAATATGAATCTTTTTAAAGCCTTCCTGATACATATTGTTGAACTGCCTTTCAAAATAGTAGCACCAGCTTTTTAACGAATTTTAAAATAAATTTATGAATCTTTTGCTCCTTTTAGTGCAACCAGATGCAATTTGAATAAGGAGACTAAATTTCTTCGAAAACAAATAGCAGAATTAAAGTAAATAAATTGCACAGTCAAATTAATTGATAATTAAGCATGTTTTAATACATAATGGGCTTTACAGTCTACAAATTTTGTTTCCTTGAGTTATATTTTGGGTTTCTGACATTACTGAATTTTGATTGTGCTTTTAATTAAAGTCCATATTCCGATTATAAATCATTGGTATTTAGAATCCTGATAAAAGTTACCTCCGAATCTAGGACATAGTCTCTAATGGCCACAACAATGAACCATCTCTGTAAATGAATGCTACCTGGAGACAGAAACTCTCTTAAGACAAATCTGAAAAATCTAAGAAATGTTTTAAACAGAAAGTACAAATATTTGTTCAGTCATTCAAATGCTATCTTGATACTAAAACCAAAAACCCCATGTCAAATAAAAAAGGTAGAGAGGAGAAAATCATAGGAAAAATTCTAAGAAAGTAAAAAGCAGGAAGATCAAAGCAGAAAAAAAAAAGTAGAAATGCTAAAACATTCCATAAATGAGAAAACTTAATATAACAGGAGCATTAATAGAGGTAACAACAGAGAGTCCAGTCAGTAGAAGGAGGTTGGAGCAAACAAGAAGAACCAAAACAATGGAATAATTAGGTATGAGAAAGTGAATAAACAATCAAAGATCATTTGCTGTTACAATACAGTGTTACTTCTCTCTTTTGGCTGCACAATTATTCAGCCACCTCAACTAAGTAGGACATTGCTGAGAACCAGAAAACAAGGAGGGAAAGGTTCTGAAAATAGCCAAAGCTAACAATCATACTACACAAGCTCAAGTGCTTCTCTCATAACAATCACTTTAAATCCTTATTTTAAATAGAATGCTAAGAGGTTTGGTTATTACTTCTCTGTCCGTAGCATATTAAAAGTAGTAAGTCAGAAGCAAGGAGAGATTTCCAGAGAGTGGAGCACCAAAAACACATAACATCATATTTGCCAGTGATAAAGGACATACACAAACCACTGCCGCCACCACCACCACCACCACCAACAACAACAAAAAACTCAAGAACTGAAAAAGCATAATAGTCTCAAAATAGGAGGAGTAGACAAACCAAGCTTCACAATCAGCCCTAAATCCTAAATGCATCAGAAAATGGCATCCTTAAGAGATGAAAATGTTAAAAGTATAATCAGTGAGTTCTCGTTTCTTTCTTTTCTTTTTTTTCTCTCTCTCCCTTCTTTCTCTCTCTCTCTCTCTTTCTTTTCTTGAGACAGTCTCACTCCACTACCCAGGCTGCAGTGCAGTGACATGACCATAGCTCACTGCAGCCTCGAACTTCTAGCCTCAAGTGATCCTCCTGGCTCAGCTTCCTGAGGAGCTGGGACCTCAGGTATGTACTGCCATGCCAAACTAACTTTTTAAATTACTTTTATTTTTATTTATTTATTTTTTTGAGACAGTCTCACTCCGTCGGCCAGGCTAGAGTGCAGTGGCATGCTCTTGGCTCACTACAACCTCCATCTCCTGGGCTCAAGCAATTCTGCCTCAGCCTCCCGAGTAGCTGGGATTATAGGCATGTGCCACCATGCCCAGCTAATTTTTGTATTTTTAGTAGAGACAAGGTTTCACCATGTTGGCCAGGCTGGTCTCAAACTCCTGGCCTCAGGTGATCCACCCCAACCTCCCAAAGTGCTGGGATTACAGGCGGGAGCCACTGCACCCGGCCTTAAAATTGCTTTTATAGATACACAGTCTCACTACGTTGCCCAGGCTGGTCTCAAACTCCTGGCCTCAAGTGATCCTCCCACCTCAGCCTCCCAAAGTGCTGGGATGACAGGCATGAGCCACTGCACCCAGCCAAGTTCTGTTTAAAATGGAAGGGGCAAGCCACATTTTAAAGTGTTTTCCACCTTGGAAGATTAAAAAGTAGAGATAGGCTTCCCTACCCAAGTATTTTACTTATGTTGAACATCTCAAGCCCAAGCCAAGATAATTACAGTACAACAAAAATAATGAAACAGACCTACAACTAGCAGAGAAACTATAATTTTTAGCAAGGAAAAGATAAACCACACTTGAAATCTACTTGAATCAGATAAACACAGTGATTGGTAACCCAGCACAGTCTGTATCACAGCCATCCAAACACTATTGCAATGACTTGGGGTCCTGAGCATGCTGACATGTCACCTTTGGCTTGGCCCGTGGGCTTTTGCACCACTTCAATCTTGGTCACTTCGTGTTCCTCCAAAAAGTTCAGAAGCCACATCAAAAAAACTGCTATCACCTGGATCCCTTCCAAACCGAGAACTAGAATTTGCGCCTTTTCACTAACAGTTATAACGCAGAACTGGAGTAATTTTATTATTCAATCAACAATTTACATTTGACAAAATTTTAAGTATTTACCATATGCCAGGTGAGCTGGCTCTATGTAAATATAGTAGACTTTAAAGAAATTTAAAGATTCCAGAGTCATCTAGAATACAGTTAATTTTCTGCTAATGTATTTTTCTACTACTGTATTTTTCAACCAGTCTCCCCAATATTAATAAAGATGGTATATATATTCTTTATCTGGTATCAGCATCATTAAAAATTAGACAAGACTACAACTTTTCTTTGTGTTTGATGAAATATACTTTCATACATATTATCTTCCTCAGAAAAACATATTTTTATATTTTACAAAAATATAAAAGGAATTTCAGCCCAAAGAATATTTTGGGATATACCATGTGAAAAACCTCAGAAGAATATTTAAATAAAACCATAATTCTTATTACCAAAAACATGTTCTATATTGCAGCTAACTTTGAAATGAAGATAAACTGGATAACAGTTGACCAAATACATTAAGATCTTTCTTTGGAATATCTAAATCTATATCTAATGGGCCATCTAGCTTTCCAACTTTCAGTGTCATGGTAAAGTAAGAAAAAGCACAAAAAACAAATACACCTATGAAGTAATCTTGCCGAAAAACTTGTATTAATACTTGAATCTGATCAAACCTCTGTATCTTTCAATTTAAAAAAAAAAAGGGCATGGAGGAATATTGCAAGGACTCAGTCATCCAAATCCGGGCTCACAGGGTACCACACTACCACACTACCTCATTAAGACTTCAGTCTCATCCCTTGAAAGCTGGCATCCAGTTTCCTACTCTGTGGCTACTGCTTTATGGCACTCTGAACACTGTACTGAAATTACACGTGTGTCTCCTGCTACAGCACTAGCACAGGGGAGCACAATCACATAGCTCAGAACAGGGCTCTGACATCTGAGTTAAAACCCCAGCTTTGCCCCCTTGGTTAACTCATCGATAAAATGAAGAAAATATCACCTGCTGCTCAAAGGAATTTTAAGGATTCCATGAGAAAATACATGTAAAGCACCTAGCACAATTCTTGGCATATCTTAGGGAGTTAATAACTAATAACTGAATAAATAAAAACCATAAGCAGCAAAATTAAATAGTTGTGAATTTCATCTCTTTTGATTTCATCTAATCACCTTCTTATAGTATCTAATGAATGGTAAAATGCCAAAATGACTAATGGTTAAAAAAAAATTAGCAAAGATAACAGGAATTTTTTTAAAAAAACAGGTCATCAGCTTCTAAATAACTGTGGCTGACTCTAGAGTAGTAAGGAATAATGTAATCACAGCAAACATCACCTGATGAAGAATGGAGTTATTAAGAGCTAAACCAGACCGAACTCAGTAAAAGCAATCAAATTTACTTTAACTAAAAGTTCTCAATATAATCATTTTCAAGCATAATTTTAATAATGTGGAAAACATTTCTAAAATAAGTTTTTAAATGTCAGCATTATGATTCTGAGTCTTTTCCATTTTCTCACTAAAAAGGACTAACAATAAATTAAATTAACCAACTTTTCCATCTGAACAGTAGGTGGCATAACTCACCTACTGTGAGCCAGCTGCTGCAGCGTGAGTGACATGGTAATTTTTTTAAAAGCTCAATATAACATCATTCAAAATTCTGACAATATTCATTTAAAAGTCCTAATTTGAAAATGGCATTTTTCAAATAATATGAAAATACTTACATCTCAATTTGTCCAGCATTTTTCCACCACACATGGTTGCTAACATAGCTTTAACTGAAAATACCGTCAACTTGCCTCGGCCCTCACTGCAAAATAAATTATATTAGAAATAATTGCTATCTGAAACCACAAAAGGACTCGAATGTATCACTAAATACTGAGCAACCCAGTAAGTTGATTCCTGACCTTGTCTGTTACAATTTTACCACATTTAGAAACCCTGGATTTTTTTTTTTTCATTTGTAGAATTAAGACTTCACCTATGCTAGGTGAAGAATGCTAAAGCTAGCCTGAATTTTCTGGAAGTTTTAGAAACATTCTATGTAATTTCTGTTGGCTATGTAGCAGAGGTCAAATGGATGAACCTGAAGTGAATTTCCTATTAATTAAACCCATTAAATCCACAGCTGTAGTTCTTAAGTATTCAAAACTGAGGGGCCACCTGGTTTGAATATAATTCAGAAACATAACCTTACATCAGGATATTACAACAATGGTTTCTTGTTACATACTAAACAACAGGGTGCATCTTACTATGAAGATTTTATAGTACATTCATCTTTGTTTTTACTGTAACAACCTTTATGTTACCACGTGTTTATTCTAAGAAGCTCAATCACACCTGTCTCAGATCTTCTAATACACCACTGTAAGAAAAGTGAAGAGGAAGGGATAGTAACATTAATTCTTCTTTAGGAACTGGAAAGACGAAATGTAGAAGAACATAAATGAATCACCTAAGGTAATGCTGCACACCACCAGCAGAACCAAGACAATATCACCGAGGCCCCTGACCCAAAGTGTCCACGGCTTCATTCACTCAACTATGCCCTGGTTTCACAGCAGATAAAAACTTCACTAGTTGGTTGTTAAAGTTATCACAGGTAAGCCAAGAATGTGCTTTTTGTGTTAATTTTTAAAAGCTTGTGTTCACAATGTTTCATTGTAACTTAGAGTAAAACACTTTTGCAATAATGAGAGCTATACCTTCTTTGTTTAGAAAAAGAATGTATCATCCTATTTATATCCACAATGGTTCTAATACAGTGTTTCCCATTTTCCACACTGTCTTTATATACAGAAAGATCACACCTGAAAAAAGGCAAATAGCCTATACGCTAGAAAATTATCTGTGAAAACACCACCAGGAAATATCAATATTTGTTACAGTTGAGCTTTTAACTATAACATCTCCTTGAGTTTATTCATAAAACAAAATAGGAATGACTGCAACTAGCTAAAATTAGAATGGGGTTTTTAAAATATATTGTTCTTCAGAAATAAAGATACAGCTCCATGTACAAAGCAATATGGCACCCATAAATAAGGCATATTCCTGCATCAAATATCTACTGCATTATGTAAGAAAAGCTAGTGGTTATAAGATAGATCATTAGGTTAAAAGGAATGGGTTTCTAAGACTGATACAGAGCTTTTACAGTGGACTTTCTTTTTTGACACCAAGCACTTGAAAGCTGAGTCTACATTTAAGCACACCCTACCTTATGGGACAAGTAGACTTTCCACTACTAAAGTACAAAGAAGGAAAAAAAAACATATATTTGCTTTCTCATCTTTCTCTGAAACTAGGATAGGGGCACATAACAGAGCTCCACCAATAAAATGCACTATGCTAGATTTCAAGGGGGTAAATATTAACTTGGAGAAGCAGGAACTCCAGAAGAATCCACCTAGTGGGGATGGCAGCAGTAGGGGCAGCTACATTCAGTGTTCTGGGGCAGCAGAGATAATGATTCTTGGGGCAGCACCCAGAGCCCAGCATCAGTGGTGTTTGGAGCACAAGCAGCAAGGTCTGTGGCCAGAGAGGTGTCTTCATGAGAGTTCTGTGCAATCATTTTGCACTATGTTCCTAGCAGTGTAGTTTTCAAGCCTACTTTCCCAACCTACTTACAGAATCTGTGGGTCACCCTTTTAATTAATTAGCCAGAGATGGTATCTATTACTTACAACTAAGAACTCTGATGGATACAGCTTCTAACCTGAAGTAAAGTGGCCCACAAAGATGAAGCAACAAAAGAAACTATTGCTGAAGTCCAGAGTGGGATTAAGAATGCCTGATGGGCCGGGTACAGTGGCTCACGCCTGTAATCCCAGCACTTTGGGAGGCCGAGGCAGGCAGATCACCTGAGGTCGGGAGTTCAAGACCAGCCTGACCAACATGAAGAAACTCCGTCTCTACTAAAAATACAAAATTAGCCAGGTGTGGTGGCGCATGCCTGTAATCCCAGCTACTCAGAAGGCTGAGGCAGGAAAATTGCTTGAACCCAGGAGGCGGAGGTTGCAGTGAGCTGAGATAGCATCATCTCTTGTTGCCTGGGCAACAAGAGCGAAACTCTTTCAAAAAAAAAAAAAAAACTTGTTATATATGTTGCTATGCATAAACATTTCCATAATAGAATGTACACACACACACACACACACACACACACACACACACACACACACACACACAAAATTAAAAATACCAAGGCTTAGGCCCAACCCTTAGAGATCCTAATTATTTGGCCTAGGGTGGGGCGTTGACACTGGTAATTCTTAGGAGTTCCCCAAGTGATTCAAAACAGCCAGAATTGAGAACCACTGACCCAAAACAAATCAACTTTATAAAAAGAAAAGAAAAAAAGACACAAGAGAAAAAGGGAAGCTGCATTCACATACACAAAATAGACATGGAAGAAATACAAATGACTATTAAGTGCATGAAAAGACACTGACCTTAATTAATAATAAAAGGAACAGAAATCTCAAAAATAATGAGATAAATTTTGTAGATGTCATAAGTTACTGTTTCCAAAGACTGTCCTCAGTCTAAGCAGTGTGAAGTCTGACTTAGGTGAACTATATTTTTTTTGTTGTTGTCTTGTTTTGTTTTGAGACAGGGTCTCCCTCTGTCGCCCAGGCTGAAATACAGTGGCGTGATCACAGCACACTGCAGCCTCAACCTCCTGGGCTCAAACAATCCTCCCACCTTCGCCTCCTGAGTAGCTGGGACCACAGGCACATGCCACCACACCTGGCTTGAAAGATTTTTAAAGAAATAGTTTAGCTACACTTCCTTTTATTTTGTAATGTAATATTTATCACTTTCATAATTGATTACTTTTTAAATGATCACTTTAAAGAGAGAGAGAGTATATGTGCCAGGAAAAAGTAAGTAATCTCTCTGGTTTTATATAATTTTAAGCTCTAACCATGATCAACGATTATGCCTTTAGTTAATTCTGTATGGTATCCTTTTTAACTTTTCATTAAAGTATAATGAACCTATAGAAAAGTGCATAATTCATGAATGAACTTTCACAAAATGTTCCCTCATGAACATTTAAAGTTCACTGAATGAACTTTCACAAAATAAATACCCAGGTAACTAACCAGCACTCAGGTCAAAAGACAGAACATTACTAGCACCCAGAAGCACCTCTTTCCTAAACCCACTTCCCACCGTGGTAACTTCTATCCTTTTTTTTTTTTGAGACAGAATCTCTCTCTGTTGCCCAGGCTGGAGTGCAGTGGTGTGATCTTGGCTCACTGTAACTTCCACCTCTTGGGTTCAAGTGATTCTCGTGCCTTAGCCTCCCGAGTAGCTGGGATTACAGGTGCACACCACCATGCCCAGATAATCTTTTTATTTTTAGTAGATACAGGGTTTCACGATGTTGGCCAGGCTGGTTTAGAACTCCTGACTTCAGGTGATCCACCCACCTCGGCCTCCCAAAGTGCTGGGATTGCAGGCGTGAGCCACTGCACCCAGCCCAGTAACATCTATCCTGACTTCTAGTATCATAGGTCAGATTTGGCAGCAATTGAACTTCATACAAATGGAATCTTACAGTATGCACTCTTTTGTGTCTGGCTTCTTTCACTCAACAAAATATCTACAAGATTTTTTATGTTGTTACATATATTAGTTCATCCTGCTATGCAGCATTCTGTTGTATGAATATACTGCATTTTATCCATTCTCTTACTGAGGGATATTTTCAAACTCTATATTTTAAACTATTCGATGAGCAGGACAAACAAAACATGAGTCACTGCCTATACTATAGGTACAAATAAATACTTGTTGACTTATTGATATTCCTTACTAAAAGAAAGAAAAAAAAGCTGCTTGTGGGTAAAAGTGAAACCAGTGGCACAAGAACTGATAACATTCTAAGGATTATATACAATCAGCCCTCAGTATTCATGGGCAATTGTTTCCAGGACCCCTGCAGATACCAAAATCCACGGATATTCAAGTCCCCTCTAGAGTTGGCCCTCCATATCCATGGGTGTCTGAATCCACACATGGGAATCTGCAGATACAGAGGGCCAAGGGTACTGGCAATGCTGAGGAGTTTGAAAATAATCTAGAGGGAAAAGCACAGCACCTTGGAAATGCCTTCAAGAAGAAGTCCGTCCTTAGGATCCTATCGACTTCTAAAGTGATTATATCTGGGAACTGTGGCGCATGCCTGTAGTACCAGCTACTCAGGAGGCTGAAGCAGGAGGATCACTTAAGTCCAGGGGTTTGGGACCAGCCTGGGCAATACAGTCAGACCTCATCTCTAAATAGAAAAATAATACACTAAAATAAAGTGATTAATGTTGGTCTAATACTTAATAAAGGAATTATTAAGAAAATAAGTCTGAATATCCCTGGAGTTATTTGGATAGACCAAGCAGAAGAATTAATGTAATTCTTTCTTTCTCTCTATACCAAGTAGGCCCTTTATCAAGAGACAGCACATTATCTAAACACAGAAAAAGGAGAGAAATAAAGGGGGTAGAAAACTGTTCCATTCTTTTCACATGGAATTTACACACTCGAGAAGCCTAAAATGATGTTTTTGAATGTGCATATTCATAGTCATTTTTTGCAGCATGTTTCTAATGGCAAAAGACTGGAAATAACCAAAATGTCCATTAATAGTGAAGACTGCTATCACAAAAAGAATAAGAAATTATATATGAAAGACAGAATCATATGCAAGGCAGACTAAGGGGAAAAAAGCAAGGTATAGAACAAAATAATTGTTAGAAGGTTATCTAACAACTATGTTAAAAAAGAGAGAGAAAAATAATATATTTGTTTGCATATGTATAAACTATATGTGACAGGATATTGAGAAAATAACAACACTGGTTGCCGCCAGGGTGGGAAGAAGACAGCCTAGAGAGAGGAATGAAATGGTGGGTAATTTCACATTGTAAGTATTAAAAATGCTTATACTAGAAAAGAAGAAGGTTCTCAAATCTAACCCTCCAACTTAAGACACTAGAAAAAGAACAGAAAATTAAACTCAAAACAAGAAAAAGGTGAAAAATACTATAAATAAGAGCAGAAATTAATGATGCTGAAAACAGAAAAATAGAGAAAAATATCAATAAAACCAAAAGCTGCTTCTTTGAATGGATCAATAACAATAGAAATCTCTTGCCAGACTGACTAAGAAAAAAAAGAAGACACAAATTACCAATATTAAGAGGGGATATCACCACAGGTTCTACAGACATTGCAGAAATAATAAAGATTATTTAAAAACCTTTATGTCCATGAATTCAACAACTTGAATGAACTAGATATATACAGACTACTCCTTGAAAAACACAAACCACCAAAGCTCACTCAAGAGAAACAGATAAACTGAATAGACCCATATCCATTACAAATTGAATCTACATTTTAAAGTCTTCCAAAAAAGAAAGCTCCTCATTCTGAAGGCTGTACTGGAGATCTCTAAACATTTAAAGAAGAAAAACTGCATTTCTACTCACTCTTCCAGGTAATAAAAAAAGGGAAGAAACACTTCCCAACTCTTTTTATAAGGTCAGTATTATTCTTTTTTTAATAATTTCAACTTTTATTTTATTCATTTATTTATTTATTTGTAGAGACAGGGCCCCATAATGTTGCCCAGGCTGGTCTCGAACTCCTAAACTCAAGTGGTCCTCCTGCTCTAGCCTCCCAAAGTGCTTGGATTACAGGCATGAGCCACTATGCCCAGACCAATTTTTATTTTAGATTGAGGGAATACACGTGCAGGTTTATTACATGCGTATATTGCGTGATGCTGAGGTTTGGGGTATGAATAATCCTATCACCCAGGTAGTGAGCACAGTACTCAACAGTTAGTTTTTCAACCCTTGCCCCCTCCCTCTGTCCCCACTCTAGCAGTCCCCTGTGTCTACTGTTCCCATGTTTATGTCCATGAGTACCCTATGTTTAGCTCCCACTTATAAATGAGAACATGTCGGTATTTGGTTTTCTGTTCCTGCATTAATTTGTTTAGGATAAGGGTAAGGCCAGCATTATTCTGACACTAAAAACAAAGACATTACAATAAAAGACAACAAGTCAGTATCTCTAATGAACATAGTTACAAAAATCTTGAACAAAATGAGCAAATCAAATGTAGGAAAAAAAAAAAAAGGGACAGGCCGGGTGCAGTGGCTCACGCCTGTAATCGCAACACGTTGGGAGGCCAAGGTGGGCGGATCATGAGGTCAGGCGTTTGAGACTATCCTGGCCAACATGGTGAAACCTTGTCTCTACTAAAAATACAAAAATTAGCCGGGCGTGGTGGCGCTCACCAGTAATCCCGGCTACTCAGGAGGCTGAGGCAGGAGAATTGCTTGAACCCAGGAAGTGGAGGTTGCAGTGAGCTGAGATCATGCCACTGCACTCCAGCCTGGGCGACACAGCAAGACTCCGTCTCTAAATAAATAAATAAATAAGGACAAAAATCACAACCCAGGGAGCTTTATCCCAAGAATATAAGGCTATTTTGACATATGAAAACCAATCAATATAATTCACTATCTCAACAGACCAAAAAGAGAGAAAGGCGATACGACCATTTGAATAGATGCAGAGATGACAAAATTCAACATCAATTCCTGACACTCTCAGAAAACTCAGGAAAAAAAGAGAATTTCTTCCATGTGACAATGGGCATCTTTAAAAATAATCATGGTGACCATCATACTCAGTGAAGAAAGACTGAGTGCTTGTCCCCTAAGATTAAGAACAAATCAAGAGGACTGCTCCCACCACTCCTTGTCAACCTCACACTGCAGAACCCAGCTGGTGAAATAAGACAAGAAAAATAAACAAAAAACACATTAGAAGTAAAGAAATAAAACTGTGTCCATTCCAGGCAATATGATCATATGTAGAAAGCTATAGAACTACTAACAACACTATAATAAGTGAGTTTAACAACATTGCAGAATGTAAGGTCAACATAAAAAATTCAATTTTATTTCTCTAAACTAGCAGAAGACTATTGGAAATACAACAGCAACAAAAATATAAATAATTAAATAATATTTTTTAAAAGCATGTTCAAGATCTGTATGCTGAAAACTACAAAATACAAATGAAAGAAATCAAAAAAGATTTAGAGAGATATACTATGTTCATAAAATGGAAGGTTCAGTGTAATTTAAATGCCAATTTTCTCTAAACTGCTCAGAATCCCGTTGCGATTCAATGCAATCCTCTAAGGAGATGGAGGCGGGGAAAAACAAAACAAAACAAAACTGTTTTTCCTACTCTCTTACACAGCAATTCACTCTGACACCAGATGCCTCGGGAGTTATTTCCCCACACACCAAGCAAGCAATTCTCCAGCAGATAACAGCTGGATGTCTATAATCTGATTCAAGTCCGACACCATTTACCTGGAGATAGCATCAGATCCCACAGGCTGAGGGCTCATTCCCGCAAGACTGCTCCCCACTTCAGATATCAGTAGCAAGTAGTAGGCTGTCACCTATACTTCTGACCAACGAACTATAAAATTGCGGTTCCCATGACCCTTCCTTGGACTGATTAGTTTGCTAGACTGGCTCACAGAACTCAGGAAAACACCTATATTTAACCACTTATTTATGAAGGATATTATAAAAGATACAGATGAACAGTCAGATGGAGGAGATGCATAGGGTGTGTTTTACGGGAAGGGGCACACAGCTTCCATGCCTTCCCGAGGTGTGCTACACTCCAGGAACTTCCACCTGCTCAGCTATCTGGAAGCTCTCCAAACCTAGTCCTTTTGGGTTTTTAATAGAGGCTTCATTACCTAGGGGTGACTGATTATATCTTTGGCCACTGGTGATCTGCCTTCAGCCCCTCTTCCTTCTTGGAGGTTAAGGAGTGGGGCTTAAAGTCCCAACTCTCTAATCAATCACATGATTAGCTCCCCTGGCAAACAGTCTATATCCTAAGAGTGGCCTCCTTAGGACAAAAGATGCTCCTATCACTCAGGAAGTTACAAAGGTATTAGGAGTTCAGTGTAAAGAACTGCGGTCAAAGTCCAAATACTAGAACAAAAGATTCTACCACCTATCTACAAGGGGGTATCAGGAGCTCTGTCTCAGGAACCCGGGCAGCGATCAAACGTTAGAACAAAAGATTCTCCTACAACCCCTATCACTCAGGAAATTACAAGGGTCTCAGGGGCTCTGTGCCAGGGACTGAGGGCAGACCAACATGTATATTTCTTATTATTTCGCAAATCCCAATTGAATTCACAAAAGGGTATTTCCGTAGAAATCAACAGGATCATTTCTTGTGTATTTTTAGAGTTCTAAACCCATACAAATCCTCAATAAGGTATGAGAATAAAGATACTATTCAGATGCCTAAACCCCATCCTGTTCTTATGTTGAAAAAGTCCCTTGTGCTATTTTCATATGCATCCAGAGCTGAGAACCACCAACATAGAGCTTTGAATGCAAGAGTAAGACTTTAGCTTTTATTTTGTTGGCAGTGATAAATCAAAGGACATAATAAAAGATTACAGAAAATTAATCACACTGCAGTTGTGTAAATCTTTCTGGCTCCAAATCTCTCCTCCTTCAAAGAGACAAAACTGTATCTATTCCTTGCTGCAGAAAAGAAACTGTTGCTATCTATGCAGACAGACAGGAAAGTGTGGCAGAGTCCAGCACACTAGCAAGAGAGCCAGGTCACACTTGCAACTCTTCCTGAGAAGAGACTTACCTCATTAATACCCATCCATAAACATTACACAATGGATCTTCATGGGTACTATGATATCTTTACTTCTATATATTATAATAATTAGCACTTGTACAACATTTTCTTAATCTTCAAAATGTTTTTAGAAACACTAATATTTTACAACACTTTGCATCCTTATTCAAAATATCCTTTGACTCAACCCTGTTGTAAATATTAGTCCTAGATTCAGAGACTCTCATATTCAAATACAGAATAACAGATATAATTCTCAATTAACCTGGATCAGCACTAAAACACTTGTATTTTTCCATTCATTAAGATTATTATTAGTCTCAATGGCTGGTCTCCGATGAAAGAATCTGTTAATTTACAGAATAATCTAGATCAGGCTATTTATAGTAAAAAAAAAAAAAAAGACTTGGCCGGGCGCAGTGGCTCATGCCTCTAATCCCAGCACTTTGGGAGGCCAAAGCTGGTGGATCACGAGGTCAAGAGATCGAGACCATCCTGGCTAACACGGTGAAACCCCATCTCTACTAAAAATACAAAAAATTAGCCGGGCGTGGTGGCAGGGGCCTGTAGTCCCAGCTACTCAGGAGGCTGAGGCAGGAGAATGGCGTGAACCCAGGAGGCGGAGCTTGCAGTGAGCCGAGATCGCGCCACTGCACTCCAGCCTGGGCGACAGAGCAAGACCCCGTCTCAAAAAAAAAAAAAAAAAAAAAGGAAAAAAAAGACTCATTAACCCCTCAATTAAGTATTGCCAGTAATGTGTGGTCCCTTAACATACCATCTCTGAGATCCACTGTTTAACCATTTTTCTTATTCACAACAGCCACGTAGAAATCTCCACACATAATCTCCCACCCAACAAACTACGAATCTTCTCTTCCCTCCACCTGTATGCACTTTCAGGTGAACAAATGTATGCGTGCTTAACATCACAGGCTTTATTAAGGGTCAGGGGATATGCACCAAAGTGTCAATCTGTAACTCAACAGGATAAACAGACTGTATAAGCACAGTGGAAGGAGTTTTAAGTTCAGGTAAAAGTAGAGGAATCTGAGATTAAGGATCATAGTAAATGTGAGCGGGATGAATTTACAGACAGGAGAGATTTGGCGAAAATACTTAGTGAACCTTTATGTTTAAGAATACATTCATAAGTTAAGTATGCATCCTGAGAATGGGGCAGTGGGCTCGAGGTGTTAATTATTAACCCTTCTTCCCCATTCAAATCACTTTTCATTTACCACTTTAGGTTCACAGTTAGTGCTATCAAAAGGTTTATACACTCTTCAAAAGGAAATATTAATATAAACAAAAATATACACAAAAGTTATAATTGTATATTTAAATACAGTTATAGAAACTTATTAAAGAAGCCAGGCGTCGTGGTTCACGCCTGCAATCCCAGCACTTTGGGAGGCTAATGCAGGTGGATCACTTGAGACCAAGAGTTTGAGACCAGCCTCAAACTGTATTAATAAAAATACAAAAATTAGCCAGGTGTGGTGATACGCGCCTGTAGTTCCAGCTACATGGGAGGCTGAGGTAGGAGAATCGCTTGAACCCATGAGGTGGAGGTTGCAGTGAGCCAAGATCACGCCACTGCTCTTTGGCATGGGCAACAGAGCAAGACCCTGTCTCAATAAAAAATTTAAAAAGAAACTTATTAAAGATACCTACTTTAAAATTCCAGTATAACTTGGCATAAAGAAATAGTTATCCGATAAAATTAATGAAGGGGTAGTCTCAACATCCTTACTTCCACAAATCACGTTACTTATATTTTTCCCTTCAAAAAGAAAAAAAACTTAGCTCTTTTCTCTCAATTGTTTGCTTTGCAGGCCAAACATCAGCAGTGACTCCTCTGCACAGAATGCTTTTCTTGGCACTGAAACCCCTCAGTCTACTTTAAGCCTAACTTCCTACAACTGCCTCTAAACAAGGCCAAGAGGAAGCATTACTTTTGCTTTTCTAATGTTTCTTTAGAGCCCCAGCATTCTTCCTCTACAACTAGAGGCAAGCAGAGAGAAAACTGCAGCTCCTCAGCACCCTGATACCGCCCGACTTTGTTCTTTATCTAACTGATTCCTTCTTCTTGGAAGAACTCATTCTTGATCCTTCCCACGAGACATCTGAAATTATTCTGTATACACTGGTCAAGTTGAAACTGAATAATTAGCTGCCAGTGGCCACAGCACATGTCCTCACCAATGTCCATGTTTTCACTACTTCCAATGTAAAGTCCAAGTTTATACCAGAATCAATTCTCTTCAAACAAGATTTGGAAATGATATTTAACCTGGTTTCATCACAAATAATGTTACTCACTTCAAATCTGGCCTATGATAGCTACAGAGTTGATTGGTAGGTCAACATTTGAAATATAACGCCATTAACAGTGAATACGAACCCCTCTATCAAGACACTAAGATGAAAAGATAAACAGGTAATATTTGTTGAGATGATAAGACAGAAGAAACTTGTGATTTTAACCCCACTCAAATAGAAGCCCTCCAGGGAATGTCCTCCTTCAGTAAGGGACATGATGATCCCTTTCTCAGCCTTCTCTGCATGATTCATTTCCATAGCCCTATCATTTTACAGTCTGACAATAAACTATGCATATGACTTCTAAAAAGAGTTATTATCCAACACTGAGAAAACACCATTATTAGCTCTGTGCCAAGCTAAGCAGACAATGAGTCACCCTGAATAAACGCTGTTATGTTTTAACATGCAGGTACCTTCTGAAGCCTCTGAAGTCCCCACCTGTTCCCTGTGGATGGGAAATCATTCGTTTCAGTTCAATAAGGTCTCAAATTCTGTCTTTCAATATTTAAAACTAACCAAATCTGGATGACGTTTCTAGCTTTACACTATCTAGTAGGAGTTTGCTATTCAAATTAATACTTTTGAAAACAAGACTACGGGTAGTATTTTGTACTTAACACAAGCTGTTTCTATCTCTTTAGCAAATGATTGTGGATGCTGCCAACCACAAATTTCTCACACGGAAACAAACTTCAACTTCAGAAACACTATTACCAGTCCGATTATCATATGTAGCTAAACGTAATAAGAGCATCTCTCTTTGATTTTCAAAAACTCGCATTCTGCCAATTAATCTTAATTTACAAAACTTCACAGTGAATGGATGTTGCAATAATCAACTGCAAATCAAGAATCCATTTGGCAAATGTCAAACAGCTTTAATCAAGTAAAATCAACTTAGAATATTATTCAATTTTATCACAATCAGAATGCCTGCTGCTTTTCATTTCAATCTTATAAACATTTATAAATAATCTAGCATTATACTAATTGAGGAATGAAAGAAATATAAAGCAGAATCTCTGCTCTCACGGACATCCATTCCATTTTGAACACTTATGAAGCAGTTTACAACCTTATGTAATTAAAGGCCAAAATAATAATATAAACAAGAACTGTAAGTCATCAAAAGGATGAAAATGGGATTGGTGATAATAAGGCAGGCTACATGGTAGGTAAAAACTTGGGTTGAGGCCGGGTGCAGTGGCTCAAGCCTGTAATCCTAGCACTTTGAGAGGCCGAGGTGGGCAGATCAGGAGGTCAGGAGTTTGAGACCAGCCTGACCAACATGGTGAAACCCCATCTCTACTAAAAATACAAAAATTAGCCAGGCGTGGTGGTACACACCTGTAATCCCAGCTACTCAGGAGGCTGAGGCAGAAGAATCACTTGAACCCGGGAGGCGGAGGTTGCAGTGAGCTGAGATCGCGCCACTGCACTCCAGCCTGGGCGACAGAGTGAGACTCTGTCTCAAAAAAAATAATAAAAAAAAAATCTGGGTTGAATTCTCAGAAATAGAAAAGATTTGGACAGAACAAAAGGAGACTGGGTAATCCCAGACAGATGTGGGAGCTGAGGGGGAACAAAACGCATGGCATCTGTCTGGGGAAAATGAGCATGTCATATTGGAAAAGAAGAGCGTCTCCAGGAGCGTAATTAGAGGTTGGTGTGGGCAGGGAGGTAAGCAGTGTTATCATTAAACCAACGGAGGAGTGTGAGCTTAATTCAAAACCACAGGGATTCTCTGAAGGTTTCTGAAGTGGGAAGTTACATGATGAAACAGTGTCTTGATCAGATTAATTTCGAAGTGAGGTACTGAATGGACAGGAGAAGTCTCTCTGGACTTGTTACTACTTCTCTCTGTTTCAGAAGAAAACAAAGGCAAGGAAAAAGAAACACACTCAGAATAAAGCATTCCTCCTGCCCTTTCTTTTAAAAAAATAAATGAAAAGCACAAAAGAATAAACAAAAAAAATTTTCTGAAAGATTAGTTAATGGTAAAACCCTTTGCAAGTCTGCATATTCTGAATTCAGAAGATTCTTATTTGTAAATTAGCACAAACTCATGACTTCTGTTGGAAGAAAAGCTACAAGATAAAGAGTAAGTAAGTGATGGATGGCCAGGTGTGGTGGCTCATGCTTGTAAGCCAAGACTCTGGAAGGCCGAGGCTGGAGAATCCCTTGAAGCCAAGAGTTCAAGACCACTCTGGGCAACAAAGCAAAACCCTGTCTCTACAAAAAATAAAAAATAAAATAAATAGCCTGTTCACACTGAGAAACAGCTCTGAAATTTTAAAAAGCAAAAGAAAATAGCCAGGCATGATGGCACGCACCCAACAGTCCCAGCCACTCCGGAGGCTGAAGCAGGAGAACTGCTTGAGCCCAGGAGTTCAAAGTTGCAGTGAGCTATGATCATGCCACTGCACTCCAGCCTGGGCAGCAGAGCAAGACCTTGTCTCTTAAAAAAAAGAAAATTTAAATGTGCTACAACGGTGGAAAATCTTCCCACTCAGCATAGGACTCTGATCTTACTTGGCTGGCTTTTTTCTTATGATCCTGAATCCTTCTAAAAACAAGCAGGGATGTAAATAAATACTGTACACCAACATATGAAATGTCTGTGCCTCCCAGGAAATTACAGTTTTGTTTAAAAATCACTAATGAAGAAGACTGTAACCTAATATTATCTTTTATCAGCAACATCCATTCCATAACATGCTAGGCTGGGCAGATTAAGAATTTATGGAAGACATTTGCTTTTATTTGAAATGGACTGGTTTGTTTCTGCTTTGTTTTGTATTGTTTTGTTTTAAACATTCAGTATTAAGGGGGAACAATATAACTTTTTAAATGGATTCAAATTAAACTGCTAAATCAACTTTTTTTTTTTTTTTTTGAGACGGAGTTTTGCTCTTATTGCCCAGGCTGAAGTGCAGTGGTGTGATCTCAGCTCACCGCAACTTCCGCCTCCCGGGTTCAAGCGATTCTCCTGCCTCAGCCTCCCTAGGATTACAGGCATGCACCACCACCATGCCTGGCTAATTTTTTTTTTTTTTTTTTTTTTTTTTTAGTAGAGATGGGGTTTCTCCATGTTAGTCAGGCTGGTCTTGAACTCCCGACCTCAGGTGATCCGCCTGTCTCAGCCTCCCAAAGTGCTGGGATTACAGGCATGAGCCACTGCACCCAGCCTAAACCAACATTTTTAAATGGTTGTTAGCCACATTTGCAAACTACACAGGAATTTTTTCATATAACTCTATTATAAATTATATAAGTATCTTTACACCAAAGGAATCTTTCGATTGTTCAAATTAGCAAGAATGTTTTCTACTGAGTGTTATTGTAGATGGTAAACAATAACCCTAGGCCTTTAAATGATGTGTTCAATACCGTATTTTGTATTTTTTAAGATTTAGATGTATTTTACAGACTTTGTCCAAACTAGTTTCATTAGATACATCATTTTTTTTTTTTACCAGTTTATTCCATTTTTAAGGTGAAATTTCATTCTATTTCTGAACCAACACTTTTGGTAAAGGCCACAGACTCATTTGTAAAACATAAATGGATGAAATATATCAGAGGAAAAAATAAGATTCAACAGTCAGAAATAAAGTATAAGAGCAATCTGGCCGGGTGCAGTGGCTTATGGCTGTATTCAATCCCAGCACTTTGGGAGGCCAAGTCGGGTGGATCACTTGAGGCCAGGAGTTTGAGACCAGCCTAGCCAACATGGCAAAACCCCGTCTCTACTGAACATATAAAAATTAGCCAGGCGTGGTGGCGTATGCCTGTAGTCCCAAATAGGAGGATGAGGCATGAGAATCGCTTGAATCCAGGAGGTGGAGGTTGCAGTGAGCCAAGATTGTGCCACTGCACTAGAGCCTGGACGACAGAAAAATAAATAAATATATGTATTTATTTCCATCTTTGTACCTTGACTAACATACCTTTATAATGGCCAGAAATGTCATGTTCAAATTTAGAACTGTAAGGCACCCCATACTCCTACGTGGGAAGAACCTGATCCCCTTTTCTTCCCACCTCCAGCACATCCCATGCTTGAAAGGACTATGCATGCATGTGAACACTCTAGCCCACATGTCCAAGTTCTGCCCACATTCTCAGCAAACATCCACTCCTTGGCTAGTCCTTAGACACAGGGATACAACTACTTAGAAAAACAAAACAAAACAGAACAACATACACCAGGTTTGGAAGCATAAGTCCTAGAACAAATGGACCAAGAATTTAAAACTAAGAATAAACATGTTTAAAAAGACAATACGAAACAAGAACCACAAATCCCAAAAAAGAAAAATCAGATATATTACATATAGAAAATATAATAGCTAAAGAAATAACAGATGGAATAAACAGTAGGATGGCTCCAGAGGAAGAACAAATTAATGAGCAGAAAGGCAGATCAATAAACTCTTCCAAAAGGAAACAAAGTTAAAGAAATTAAACCATATGTGAGGAACACTAATAGATAAAGAGGAAAGAAGTAGAAATGCCAACAATCAGAAAACGAGAAAACAAAAACAGAGGAAATATTTGAAGAAATAATGAGCTTCTGGTAATAGCACCCTAGGTGATTCTGATCAACTCTTCCTCTGAGCAAAAAAGAAAAGATGGGGAAAGTTTTAAAAAATCTCCTTGAATATAAATTGTTGAGAACTAACAACTGAAGTTACCAAATGCAGGAGAGGCTGGATGTCCAGGGAGGTGAGTGCAATGGATGAAATCACTTTTTCCATGTAAGTGATTTGATTCCAGAGGGGGAAGCAAAATTGCTGAAGTATAGAGTAACTTTTTGATGGTACTGGGGACAAGGAGAAAGACATGGAGGCTTGGACTTGCCAAGGCAGAAGGGGTCCCTTGGCAGGACACGTGGTCCTGCTTACCCTACTCTCCTATTAGTTTGGGCTCAGAGCCCAAAGGCTTCACCTAAAGGTAATCGTGTCCAGAAGTAAACAGGTCCTCACATGTACTGATTAAGAAACTGAATTGACGTGATCCTGGATTGTTAAGGTCTCCAGGCACCTGGAAGAAGCAAACACACATCCTTTCTTGAAGAAAACATCATCCTAGGCCTCAAATTATCCCTGCAAATAATTCTGCAATATAATGTTTGGTATATAATAAAAATAATTTTGCTATATAATGTTCAGCCTATAATAAAAAATAACAAAGCAAATAGGAAATAAAACATCATTAATGAAAACCAGAAACAACAAACAGTACAAAAAGAACCACAGGAAATCTAGATATTAGATTGTAAGTGTAAACCAAAAATAAAATTCAAAGGCCCCCTGCAACCATCTGAGTGGACTCCCTCCTGGGCCAGGGCACTCTGAAATTTAACCAGAAAGACTGGTTAAGGCCATGATGGGAAGCTGGGGATGGACATGCCTCATGATACCCTCCAGTGTTAACATCAACACAGACCTTAAGTCTGAGAAGAAACATCTACAGTCTATTCTCTCTAGAGCCTACTATTTGCAGGCTTCATCTGTGTGATAAAACCTAGCTCTCCACAACTCTTTATCATAACTCTTTCAACCAACTGCCAATCAGAATATGTTTAAATCTACCTATGACCTGGAAGCTCCCTGTCCCTCTTCAAGTTGTCCCACCCTTCCAGATCAAACCAATGTAAATCTTAAGCGTATCTGATTGATGTCTCATGTCTTCCTAAAATGTATAAAAGCAAGCTGTGCTCTGACCACCTTGGGCACACATTGTCAGGACCTCCTGAGGCTGTGTCATGGGTGTCTAAAAGATGGGTACTTCTGCTCGGTGTTCAAAGAAGCCAACTCTTCCTTAACCTCAACTTCAAAGAGGAGGCATTTAGTAGAAGCTGCTCACAGGGATTTTGTGAAGTCAGCCTAAGGATGGAGCTGATACAAGAAGGGGGCAAAGCCGCGCAAAGAAATAAAGCCAGAGCTCTGATGCAACCAAGATGAGGGGCTGGCCTGCCTCTGGACCCCTCAGTTTGTCAGCCTATACACATGTTGTTATGAAAAGGCCATGTGGGTAGGCTTTTTACAGCTAAAGACACTGGACTAACACAAAGGTTGGAAATAGAAAGGGGATTTTTAAGTAACAAACCTTAAAGTGTGAAACTGGCTCAGCTATAGAAGAGTAAGGAAGACCTCCTCTATCTCATGCTGGGAATTTGGATATCGTTATTATATTGGTTAAAGCACCTTTGTTGTACCTTTGCACCAGACTGTATGACTACCAATAACATTGTACCGGAGAAACTGAGAGGAAAAAAATGCAGCTATCAGTGTTTTCACAACTCCTTGTGGCTTTCACTAAGATTCTACACCCAGGTGTTTTGTGAATATTGGTCTCTGTGCTTTTCAATGTTTTTAATTATCAAAATATAACATATTCAGAACTCTCAGTATTAAAAAAAATTAGGTCTTAAGAAAATACTTAAGGAAAAGTCTTAGATCCTATTTGTTCCTGACCGTTGTTGTAGGGTCTTATACTCTCTTATTATAATGATCAGAAATCATCTGGCCAAACACAGGGACTATAAATTTGGAGGTGAGAGAAGATTAAATAATTTTTGCTTTCAAACTTTAACCTTATGGAATTATGAAATACAAAGGCTGGAAGCCTCAATTAAAATAAATAACTAGGTTGTCTATGTATAAAAGGAACTCTCCAGCCTAAGTAATAAAGCGGCCAATCAATAAAAAGACTAACATTTGAAGTATTTAACGACAAAATGCCCTGGTTTTCAAAATTAACATTCTGATAACCAGATTCTTTCTTTTTTTCCAACACAAGAAGGTCAATTTTAAGCTTCCAGATAGCCAAATAAGCTCTATTATATAAAGGTATCAAAGTTAGTAAAGATGTGATCATTTATTCTGATACCATGGTCTATGTTTTAAACACATCAAAGTAAAAATTACCCAACTCACTAATAACATACTATACCCCTTACTCTTCTTAACTCACTCATTTTTTTTTTTTTTTTTTTTTTTTGCTAGTTATTTTCGGTGTGTGTTTCTACACATCTGCCTTCAACTGATTCACTGTCCACTTATTCTCGTCTCTCTGTATGTGTCTAGCTTTCTCGGAATATGGCCCAGGATATCCTTGTACCTTCTGCTTCTGAGTTTGGTCCTCCCATTCTCCCTTTTGCCATCTCTGCCCTCTTCCTTCCTCTCCCTTCTTTAGCCATATGCTATAACCTGAATGCCTGTGTTCCCCAAAATTCACATGTTGAAATCCTAACCCCCAAGGTACGGTATTAGAAGGTGGGACCTTCTGAAGATAATTAGGTCACGAGGGGGTCCTCATGAACGGGATTAGTGCCCTTATAAAAGAGGTTCCCGAGAACTCCTTTGCCCCTTTGTCATGTGAGGATACCACAAAAAGGTGCCGTCTAGGAGCCAGAAAGGAGGCCCTCCCCACACACAGAATCTACCTTGATCTTGAACTTCCCAGCCTCCAGAATTGTAAGAAATAAATCTGTGTTGTTTATAGAGAGTCCAGTTCATGGCATTTTGTTAGAGCAGCCCAGTAGACTAAAGCGCCATAGTATTTAACTTACTTGACATGATTATGGAATCCAAGATTTTAATCTCTGCTTGACCATTTTTAGACAGTAAGATGGTTTTAATTTCTGACTTTAAAAAATATTGTTTCTTGAGTTAATTTGTGTTGTGTGACCCATGAATTGGTTTACTGAGTGAGTCAGTGTCATGATAAGGTGCTGCTTACTTATTACAGAATAACAATTTTTACTAAGGGTTTTGAAACAAAAAGACAGTTCCTGAGCAGGAAAAAATTAACCTATGGAGTCACTAACTAAAATTACTAAAAAATGGCATTAGAATTCTGGGACTTATGACACTTACACACTCTTATTTTTAAAATTCAGATTTCTGCCGGGCACAGTGGTACACACCTGTAATGCCAGCTACTAGAGAGGCTGGGGAGGGAAGACTGTTTGAGCCCAGTAGTTAGACCAGCCTGGGAAACACAGCAAGACCCCATCTCAAAAAAATAAGTAAATTTCTTTAATAATTTTCTATTAAACGGATACAATGTCTAATCTGATAACGGCTTATAAAAATGGTGTGAATTTAGTGAGTGCTTAAATTATGACTTGGCTTTGACATTTCCATAGTGTTACCACTAATTCACAGACTCCTCCCTATTATAAGATATAACTAATAGCATTTTACAAATGTATGAACTCAAAGAAGGTCTACAGACAGCAAAAAATGAAGCAGAGACAATCCATTCAAATCAGATGGCCAAGAGTATAGCAGAAACTGGAACTCTTGGTTCACAGAACATCACCATTTAACCTCTGTACTTCCACAATCATAAATCTGTGCTTTACAATTTTGTTGTTTCATTCTTTACAATACCAACTCAATTCTCTACGAATATAAGTGCAGCAAATCATTTCCGTTTTAATTGGAGTACATTTAAATAGTTTTCTTCTTTTGTTTCAAGATCTACTAAACTATGTTCTGCAATGAAAAAATTTAAAATAGGTTCCTAGACATAAAGAGAAAATCTGTTTGGCCAGGTGTGGTGGCTCACACCTGTAATCCCAGCAGTTTGGGAAGCCAAGGTGGGCGGATCACCTGAGGTCGGGAGTTTGAGACCAGCCTGACCAACATGGAGAAACCCTGTCTCTACTAAAAATACAAAATTAGCTGGGCGTGGTGGCGCATGTCTGTAATCCCAGCTACTTGGAAGGCTGAGGCAGGAGAATCGCTTGAACCCGGGGGGTGGAGGTAGTGGTGAGCCGAGCTTGCACACCATTGCACTCCAGCCTGGGCAACAAGAGAGAAACTCCATCTCAAAAAAAAAAGAGAGAAAATCAGTTACTATAGTCCAATATTTGATGTTACAGAGTAAAGATTAGCCTTCTGAACAAACTAGGCATAGAAGAAAAAAGAAAGAGGAGACTTAGAAGTCAAATAGAAAGCCCCATAATCAAATTCAAAACTTAGTGTTTTTCATGAGCTGGAGGACAGCTGTATTAAGGTATCTATAATTTTCCCAAACAATACATCTCAAATGTGATTCTCCACAATATTCCAGAGTTTAATATATGACATACTCTAGGACAGTAAGTCACTGTGAACCAGTTTCTAGAGGGGCTTACACCGAATAATTTTCCTTTTTTTTTTTTTTTTTTAAGACAATGTCTCGCTCTGTCGCCCAGGCTGGAGTGCAGTGGTGCAATCTCTGCTCACTGCAACCTCTGCCTCCTGGGTTCAAGCAATTCTCCTGCCTCAGCCTCCTAAGTAGCTGAGACTACAGGCGCCCACCACCACGCCCGGCTAATTTTTTGTATTTTTAGTAGAGACGGGGTTTCACCGTGTTAGCCGGGATGGTCTCCATCTCCTGACCTTGTGATTTGCCCTCCTTGGCCTCCCAAAGTGCTGGGACTACAGCTGTGAGCTACCGTGCCCAGCCAATAATTTCCCTTTTAATCATGATTCTAAGTTGCCAGCTTAGCAAGGCAACTTAGCACGGCAGTATGGAAGAAGAATGATTCAGAGACAGGTGTTCTTAAAATGAAGTAAGCGTGTAAGGTAAGGTACTACTAGCCTGTCATATGCAGCAATCATAAAGTTGAGGAGGAGGCTGATAGATTGTTCCACACTAATTTGGTGAGTAGAAGGAAGGCGCTTGTTCAACTGATAGTAGATGGAGGAGATGACAGTTTCGAGGCGGGACACACTGATCTCGGTGGTATGGTCCAGTGTATTAAGGCCATTGTCTCGGAAGGCTTCAATCATGTTCCAGATATCAACAAGATGAACTAAAAGACAAAGAAAATAAACTGTCAACAATTTTAAAGTGTGGTACTACCCTTCACAATAGGAATCTAAAATTTATCAACTAGTTCTTAAGTTTAAAGAGAAGAAACTCTTTAGCCAACAATGAGGAAAACATTCTGTGGTCAAATAAAGAACATCAGTCCCAGACAACATCAAGGAGCCACCACAGCGGTATGGGAAGGACTACTTCCAGCCTTCACATTTAAATAGCGAGTATTTCACGTCTCTGCAAATAGTGACCCATGCAATTCCTAACAATGGATAACTTGATAAAAAGATCAAGAACTACTCCTAAGAACTTCTAGTCTTTTTGAAAATTTGCTGTATTACCTTGAGTCAGCTTTACTGTATTACTTTAGCCGAGCAACTAAAGCAACATTTTACAACTGAAACTTTACTGTATGACCCTAAAGAGAGAGACAAATACAACTGCATTAAGTAAAATATTAATATGCTTTAGAGGCTACTCAGAGCTCTGAACAACTCATAGCTCAGCCAAAAATAAATTTATCTACTGCATATTTCCTCCATTATTTAAGAGGCTGACTTTCTTTTAAATTCCATTTCCAGTAATAAAGTAGGCGCGGTAGCTGGGTCTACACTCTTCTTGAAAACGACAAAAATTCCTGGATGGAATATAAAAACTTCTTAAGTGCACAAAAAAAGTAAACAATACTCAACTACACAGAAAAGAGACATTTCCTTGAAAGAAAAATAATTAAGAATGATGCCTGACTTCAAGCAACAAAGGAAGCAGAAGACTGCAAAATAATTTTAATGTGTTGAAAAGAAATCAAAACCACCAACAAAATTCTACACCTAGTATAAAAAAACTTTCAAGAAAAAAGGTTCAATAAAGACATTTTCAAGTAAAGGAAATCTGAAAGTATACTTTCCAACGCTGAAAAACTAGGGGAAGAACTGAAATTAGGAAAACACAACTATTCAAAAGAAGGCAAGAAACACAGAACAAGCAGCAAAAATAGCACAAGAAAAGATGGCTGGTGCGGACCCAAATATGTCAGTTAACTGCAGTGACTATAAACACACTAACGTACCACTTACAAGACAAAGACTGACAAATTCACAATTTTTTAAATAACCAAATTATACGCTGTTTGTAAGGGATATGTCTAAAACAAAAGGACATAAAAAAGATTTAAATATAAGTGGATGACAATTTTCAACCAAAACAAAGGTGATGTAACTTTATTCGTAACAGGAAAAAAAGGGGGGAGGGCGGAGCTTGGAAAACCATATGATCAACTCAATAGACATAGAAGTAGCATTTGGAAAAATCAAATACCCTTTCATAATAAAAACACAACAAACTAAAAACAGAAGAAAACTTCCTCAACCTGATAAAGGGCATCTACAACAAATCCCAATGCCAACATCATACTTAATCAGGGAAGACTGAAAGCTCTCCCCTCAAGATCAGGAACAAGACACTTCAAGTACAGGCAGCAAAAAAGAGATACGCTGCATTTTATTTAAATTTTAAAAGTCTGTGTTTCAAAGGATACTATCAAGAAAGTGAAAAGGCAACCCAAAGAATGGAAAAAAATATTTGTAAACCATGCATCCATTAAGGGTCTGGGATCCAGACACATAAAAACTCTTACAATTCAACAATTAAAAAAAGATAACCCAATTTAAAAATGGGAAAATAATTTAAATAGATATTTATCCAAAGAAGATATACAAATGGCCAACAAGCACATGAAAAGATGCTCAACATCATTAGTCATTTAGGGAAATGCAAAAGAAAACTACGATAACATACCACTTCACACCAGCCAGAATAGCTAGACTTTTTATTTAAATGGAAAACAAGGGTCAGCGAGGATGTAGAGAAGTTGAAATTCTCATAAACTGCTGGTGCAAATGCAAAAGCATGCAGCTGCTTTGGAAAACAATTTAGGAGTTCCTTAAGAAGTTACACACAGGTCCCATACGACCCAGCAATTCCACTCCTACAGAATTGAAAACATATGTCTACACAAAATCTTGTACAAATGTTCATAGGTGCATTATTCATAAAAGCCAAAAGTGAAAACAACCCAAATGTCCATCAATATAGATACACGGATAAATAAAATGTGGCATATGCATATAATGGAATACTATTTGACCAAAAAAAGGGATGAAGTGGCCAGGCACGGTGACGGTGGCTCATGCCTGTAATCCCAGCACTTTGGGAGGCCGAGGCGGGTGGATCACTTGAGGTTGGGAGTTCGAGACCAGCCTGGCCAACATGGAGAAACCCCATCTCTACTAAAAATACAAAATTAGCCAGGTGTGGTGGCACACGCCTGTAATCCCAGCTACTCAGGAGGCTGAGGCAGGAAAATCGCTTAAACCTGGGAGGCGGAGCTTGCAGTGAGCCAAGATTACACCACTGCACTCCAGCCTGGGCAACAAGAGTGAAACTCCGTCCCAAAAAAAAAAAAAAAAAAAAAAAGGGGATGAAGTGCTGATGCATTCTGCAATATGGATAAACCCTTAAAACATTATTCTAAGTAAAAGATACCAGACAGTTAAAAATAAAAGATACCAAATATTCTAAGGTTCTATATATATGAAATGTCCACATAGGCAAATCCATTAAAAAAAAGTATATTAGTAGCTGCCAGAGCTGGGAGATGAAGGGAATGTGGAGTGACTGTTAATGGGTATGTGGTTTGTTTCTGGGGTGATGAAGATGTTCTAGAATTAGATAATGATGATGGTTGTACGACTTTGTGGATATACTAAAAATCAGTGAAAAGACTGTACACTCTAAAAGGGTGAATTTTATAGTATATGAATTTTATGTAATTTTTAATGGTGGGACAAAACATATTGTTAAAGAGGGTCAGCGAATAATGATAAAAGTTTTAATTCATAAGAAAGATATCAGAGGCTTGGTGCAGCGGCTCATGTCTGTAATCCCACTCCTGGCTTAGCTTGAAGCCAGGAGTTCATGACCAGCCTGGAGAACATAGTGGAATCCCATCTCCACAAAAAATTTTTTTTAATTAGCTAGGCATAGTGACACATCCCTGTAGTCTTAGCTATTGGGGAGGCTACAGCAGGAGGATTGCCTAAGCCCAGGAGTTGAAGGCTGCATTTAGCTATGATTGTGTCACTGCACTTCAACCTGAGTGACGAAGTGAGACCCTGTGGTCAAAAAAAAAAAAAGAAAGAAAAAAGAAAATAAAGAAAGATACAGGAACTTTATATTTATTTACATCTAACAGAATAGTCTCAAAACATATAAAACAAAAATAAACATAACCTCAAAGGGACACAAAGGAATTCAGAAGCTTAGTGGGAGATATTAACTCACCTCTCTTAATAAGTGATAGTGCAAATACACACTCAAAAAGTACAGATACAGACAATTAAACTTCACAACTAACAAAGTAGGCATAATGAGCACTATATAAAGTACAGCCTCCACTGATGAGAGAATATGTTTTATTTTCAAGTACGCAAAGATACATATAAAAATTGACCACATCCTTGGCCGGGCACAGTGGCTCAAGCCTGTAATCCCAGCACTTTGGGAGGCCGAGGTGGGTGGATCACTTGAGGTCAGGAGTTCAAGACCAGCCTGGCCAACATGGTGAAACCCCATCTCTACTAAAAATACAAAAATTAGCCAGGTGTGGTGGCTCATACCTCTAATCACAACTACTCGGGAGGCCAAGACAGGAGAATCGCTTGAACCTGGGAGGCGAAGTGCAGTAAGCTGAAATCTCAGCCCTGCACTCCAGCCTGGGCCACAGAACGTGACTCTGTCTCAAAAAAAAAAAAAAAAAAAAAGAAATTGACCATATCCTGAGCCATAAAGCAAATCTCAATAAATGTTAAAGGATTAAAATCATATGAACCATGCTCTCTGATCAAAATGAAATTAAGTTAGAAATCATAATCAAAAGACAACTTTTAAAGGAAACCTTATTTTTAGAAATGAAGAAATACACTATCAGGAAACTTTCTTAATCTGATTAAGGTTGTCATGGTTTGAATATTTGTCCTCTGCAAAAATGATGTTGAAATGTAATCTAATCCCCAGTGTGGCAGTACTGAGAGGTGGGCTTTAAGAGGTCATTGAGTCATGAGGGCTCTGCCTTCATCCACCCATGGATTAACGGACTAATTAATGAGTTATCATGGGAGTAGGACTGGTGGCTTTATAAAAAGAGGAAGAGAGACCTGCACTAGCACACTCAGCCTCCTCACCATGGGATGGTGTGCATGGCCTCCAGACTCTGCAGAGAGTCCCCAGCAGCAAGATGGTTTTCAACATATATGGCCCCTCAATCTTAGACTTCCCAGCCTCCGTATCTGTACAAAATAAATTCCTTTCTTTTTAAATCACCCAGTTTCAGGTACTCTCTTATAAGCAACAGAAAACAGGCTAAGACAAATGTTATCTACAAAGGACTTGCCACAAACATATTACTTAATAGTAAAATGAAAGGTTTTGCTCTGATAATGGGAATGAGATAAAAAATGCCCACTATCATCATTTCTGTAGTACTTGAGGCCAAACCAATACAAATATTCAGATAAAGAAATAATCAGTGTATTGGAAATGAGTAACTGAAACTGTCATTATTCAGAAATAACAAAACTATGTACATAGAAATCAAAGATTCTACAGATAAATTAATATGAGTCGAGAACAATTGCTAGAAATAAGATCAAGATCAAGATCACTGTATTTCTGTACATCAGCAACATAACAATGAAATTTTAAAATAGCTCTCCCTCTCCCTCTCCCTCTCCCTCTCTTTCCACGGTCTCCCTCTGATGCCGAGCCGAAGCTGGACTGTACTGCTGCCATCTCGGCTCACTGCAACCTCCCTGCCTGATTCTCCTGCCTCAGCCTGCCCAGCGCCTGCCATTGCAGGCGCGCGCCGCCACGCCTGACTGGTTTTCGTATTTTTTTGGTGGAGACGGGGTTTCGCTGTGTTGGCCGGGCTGGTCTCCAGCTCCTAACCGCGAGTGATCCGCCAGCCTCGGCCTCTCGAGGTGCCGGGATTGCAGACGGAGTCTGGTTCACTCAGCGCTCAATGGTGCCCAGGCTGGAGTGCAGTGGCGTGATCTCGGCTCGCTACAACCTCCACCTCCCAGCCGCCTGCCTTGGCCCCCCAAAGTGCCAAGATTGCAGCCTCTGCCCGGCCGCCACCCCGTCTGGGAAGTGAGGAGCGTCTCTGCCTAGCCGCCCATCGTCTGGGATGTGAGGAGCCCCTCTGCCTGGCTGCCCAGTCTGGAAAATGAGGAGCGTCTCTGCCCGGCCGCTATCCCATCTAGGAAGTGAGGAGCGCCTCTTCCCGACCGCCATCCCATCTAGGAAGTGAGGAAGTGAGGAGCGTCTCTGCCCGGCCGCTCATCGTCTGAGATGTGGGGAGCGCCTCTGCCCCGCCACCCCGTCTGGGATGTGAGGAGCGCCTCTACCCGGCCGCGACCCCGTCTGGGAGGTGAGGAGCGTCTCTGCCCGGCCGCACCGTCTGAGAAGTGAGGAGACCCTCCGCCTGGCAACCGCCCCGTCTGAGAAGTGAGGAGCCCCTCCACCCGGCAGCCGCCCCGTCAGAGAAGTGAGGAGCCCCTCCGCCCGGCAGCCACCCCGTCTGGGAAGTTAGGAGCGTCTACGCCCGGCAGCCAGGAGGGAGGTGGGGGGGTCAGCCAGCCGCCCCGTCCGGGAGGGAGGTGGGCGAGTCAGCCCCCTGCCCGGCCAGCCGCCCCATCCGGGAGGTGAAGGGCGCCTCTGCCCGGCCGCCCCTACTGGGAAGTGAGGGGCCCCTCTGCCCGGCCAGCCGCCCTGTCCGGGAGGGAGGTGGGGGGGTCAGCCCCCCGCCCGGCCAGCCGCCCCGTCCGGGAGGGAGGTGGGGGGGTCAGCCCCCCGCCCGGCCAGCCGCCCCGTCCGGGAGGGAGGTGGGGGGGTCAGCCCCCCGCCCGGCCAGCCGCCCCGTCCGGGAGGGAGGTGGGGGGGTCAGCCCCCCCGCCCGGCCACCCGCCCCGTCCGGGAGGGAGGTGGGGGGGTCAGCCCCCCGCCCGGCCAGTCGCCCCGTCGGGGAGGTGAGGGGCGCCTCTGCCCGGCTGCCCCTACTGGGAAGTGAGGAGCCCCTCTGCCCGGCCACCACCCCGTCTGGGAGGTGTGCCCAGCAGCTCATTGAGAACGGGCCAGGATGACAATGGCGGTTTTGTGGAATAGAAAGGGGGGAAAGGTGGGGAAAAGATTGAGAGGTTGGATGGTTGCCGTGTCTGTGTAGAAAGAGGTAGACATGGGAGACTTCTCATTTTGTTCTGTACTATGAAAAATTATTCTGCCTTGGGATCCTGTTGATTGGTGACCTTACCCCCAACCCTGTGCTCTCTGAAACATGTGCTGTGTCCACTCAGGGTTAAATGGATTAAGGGCGGTGCAAGATGTGCTTTGTTAAACAGATGCTTGAAGGCAGCATGCTCGTTAAAAGTCATCACCACTCCCTAATCTCAAGTACCCCGGGACACAAACACTGCGGAAGGCCGCAGGGTCCTCTGCCTAGGAAAACCAGAGACCTTTGTTCACTTGTTTATCTGCTGACCTTCCCTCCACTATTGTCCTATGACCCTGCCAAATCCCCCTCTGCGAGAAACACCCAAGAATGATCAATAAAAAAAAATAAAAAAATAAAAAAAGAAAAAAAAAAAAAGAAATTTTAAAATAATAGTATCATGTCACTGAAGACCTAGGAATAAATCCAATGAAGAGGCTGGGAGTGGTGGCTCACATCTGTAATCCCAGCACTTTGGGAGGCCAAGACAGGTGGATCACTTGAGGCCAGGAGTTCGAGACCAGCCTGGACAACATGGCGAAACTGTCTCTACTAAAAATACAAAAGTTAGCTGGGTATGGTGGCGGGCGCCTGTAGTTCCAGCTACTGGGGAAGCTGGGGCAGGAGAATCAAACCTAGGAGGCGGAGGTTGCAGTGAGCCAAGATTGCGCCACTGCACTCCAGCCTGAGCGATAGAGCGACTCTGATTCAAAACATAAATAAATAAAAATTTAAAAAATAAAAAACATCCAATGAAGGATGTGCAACATCTCTACAAAGAAATTAAAGACCTAAATAGTTCTAGGGATGACCATATACCACGTTCACAGGAGGAAATCTCAACATTGGCAATATGTCAATTCTCCCCAACTTGATTTACAGATTCAACAGAATCCCAATCAAAATCTCTGCAGGACTGTACAGTAAAAGAGGAATTTTACTGTGTGTAAATTATACTTGAAAAAAGAAATGAATAAAAAAAACACAGGAGAGTTGTTTTGTTGGTTTTAGTAGAAATTGGCAAGCAGATTCTAAAGTTTATATGAAAATGAATGTTAAAAAGACAAGACTGTCCCAGAGAATCTTAAAAAGAAAAGCCGAGCAAAGTAGGAAGACTTGCCTTGCCTGACATCTAGATTTACTAAATTCTAATAGTGGTTACTGCTACAAGAAAGTGCAGTATTAGAACAGTCTGGTATTGGTAGAAGGATAGACAAACAGACCAGGGAACACAAGAGGGTCAAAAAGCAGACCTTCTCATATATGGACACTGCCATGAACATTCTTGTACAGATTCATGAATATGTTCATATTCAATGAATGAATATGGGAAGACTCTTTAGCAGTAAAGAAAATTGTTTATTTTCTTCTGTTTATTGACTGTTTAGTGACCCTTTCAATAAAAAGTGAAGGAACAACTGAAAATACATATGGAAAAACTTGTACAGATTCATGAATATATTCATATTCAATGAATAAGCATGAGAAGACTCTTCAGCATTGAAGAAAATTGTTTATTTTCTTCTGTTTATTGACCCTTTCAACAAAAAGTAAAGGAACAACTGAACATACATATGGAAAAACTTGAAAACTGACTACTACTTATCCTGTACAGTCTCAAAATTTTTTTCAGATCAACTCTAGAATCCTACGTGAAAGGTAACAAAATAAAACCTTTAGAACAATGCATCTTTTACTTTATATTACTAATGCCACTAGCCTAGTCAGGCTCTCAACACTCCACACGTAGACTACTGTTTCCCAAGAATAATTATGGCAGGAATTATAAAAACGAGAGTTGTTCTAAGGCAGTGGTTTTCGAACTTTTTGACCACGAGCACAGAAATATATTTAAATCATCACATACACACATATACACACAAACACATACATATATCTAGATATATAAATATATTTAAATCATCACAGAAATATATTTAAATCATCATGTACACACACAAACACATAGATACATCCAGATATCAGAACACATTTAGCCTTACCACATAAGTTGCATTCTAATATTTTATTTTTCTTCCTTTTTTTTCCTATTATATGTTTTTAATTCTGGCTACAGCCCATCAAAATGATTTCATGAAGCATTAATGGGTAACAACTCACAATGTAAAAAATAATGCTTTGAGAAACCACTGGAGAAAGAAACATCACTTCGATCTAGGATGGCATGATAAACTCTTCGGAGAGAATTTTAAGTTAAGATTTGTGAGTAAGACTTAAAGTAGAGTAGAATTTATCAGCTGTAACGTGATTTGCCCAAGATTATTTGTTTATAATAAATGGCAAAACCAGGTCTAACAGAGCCCTCAGAAATAATAGCACACATCTACAACCATCTGATCTTTGACAAACCTGACGAAAACAAGAAATGGGGAAAGGATTCCCTATTTAATAAATGGTACTGGGAAAACTGGTTAGCCATATGTCAAAAGCTGAAACTGGATCCCTTCCTTACACCTTATACAAAAATTAATTCAAGATGGATTAAAGACTTAAATGTTAGACCTAAAACCATAAAAACCCTAGAAGAAAACCTAGGCAATACCATTCAGGACACAGGCATGGGCAAGAACTTCATGTCTAAAACACCAAAAGCAATGGCAACAAAATCCAAAATTGACAAATGGGATCTAATTAAACTAAAGAGCTTCTGCACAGCAAAAGAAGCTACCATCAGAGTGAACAGGCAATCTACGGAATGGGAGAAAATTTTTGCCACCTACCCATCTGACAAAGGGCTAATATCCAGAATCTACAAAGAACTTAAACAAATTTACAAGAAAAAATCAAACAACCCCATCAAAAAGTGGGCGAAGGATATGAACAGACACTTCTCAAAAGAAAACATTTATGCAGCCAACAGACACATGAAAAAATGCTCATCATCACTGGCCATGAGAGAAATGCAAATCAAAACCACAATGAGATACCATCTCATGCCAGTTAGAATGGCAATCATTAAAAAGTCAGGAAACAACAGGTGCTGGAGAGGATGTGGAGAAATAGGAACACTTTTACGCTGCTGGTGGGACTGTAAACTAGTTCAACCATTGTGGAAGACAGTGTGGCGATTCCTCAAGGATCTAGAACTAGAAATACCATTTGACCCAGCAATCCCATTACTGGGTATATACCCAAAGGATTATAAATCAGGCTGCTATAAAGACACATGCACACGTATGTTTATTGCAGCACTATTCACAACAGCAAAGACTTGGAACCAACTCAAATGCCCATCAATGATAGACTGGATTAAGAAAATGTGGCACATATACACCATGGAATACTATGCAGCCATAAAAAAGGATGAGTTCATGTCCTTTGTAGGGACATGGATGAAGCTGGAAGTCATCATTCTCAGCAAACTATCGCAAGGACAGAAAAGTGAACACCACATGTTCTCACTCACTGGTGGGAATTGAACAATGAGAACACTTGGACACAGGAAGGGGAATATCACACACCGGGGCCTGTCATGGGATGGCAGGAGGGGGAGGGATAGCATTAGGAGATATACCTAATGTAAATGACGAGTTAATGGGTGCAGCACACCAACATGGCACATGTATACATATGTAACAAACCTGCACGTTGTGCACATGTACCCTAGAACTTAAAGTATAATAAAAAATAAATAAATAAAAACTAAAACCAAGGTTTTTCAATTCTAAGGTTAATGCTCTTTCCATTGTATAAAATACTTTTTCCACTGATACACACAAACACGAGAAAAGTACAATAATTCTGTCACGAGCTAGTTCATCTTCATGGAAATAAAGAGAAGAAAGATTAAGTATATACACACACAGACATACATATACATATATACAGACACACACACACTTTATTTTATGATCCACATGGTAGCAATTATTTATAGAAAAGGTTGATTCATGTTACATTAAGCTTAATGAAGAAAATCAATTCCAATTATACCTTTATCAAAAACATTGTTTTTCTTTTCCTCCAGCAGCTGATAAATTGTATTAATTTTACATAAAGCATTTCCTTAATAAAAGTGACAGAGAAATCCATTCTCCCATTTAAAGAACATTAATACTACAACAGCCTCAAAACTAGTTACATGACTGAGTTTGTTAAACATTTTGAAGGACAAAGAAGTAAAATGACAAGTTCTTCCATTACAAAGCTTACATACTAATAAATACTTAAGACAAAAATAATTCAATTAACATTACAATACAACTAAAAGATGTTAAAGTCTTTTCTAATATTGAGAACTCTATCCAGCTATCACAGAAATGAGTAGAAATGACTCACGGTTGCATCGTTTTTGTACAAATCGTAATTTGCAGGCTGTTCTGTAAGTTGATAGTCGTATGACATCAAAATTCTGAGCACCTGAAAAAAGGCAAACAGAAATGCTCAACTAGATTTACCATTTAGTTTCCAAACGCTAGGAAATGACTCCATTCTATTGTATTGTCATAGTATACCAGTCAGCTAGGACTTCTTAAAAACGGTGGGTCAATTAAAACAACAACAGAGGGAGAAAAGGATAGGAAACACGTGCATCTCCAGTATGTGCAGGAACTCTGCTAGTCTAGCTCCTGATATCCTGTCTGCTCATCGGAGAAAACTCCAGGGGGAGGAACACTTATGAGGTGAGTGAGTGAACTATGATTAGGAAAGGGGAGTAGGGCAGCATCGTGAGAAAGACCCAAGCCTAGAGTCAGAAAAGCTGCATTCCTGTCCCAGCCTGACCAACCACAGAATACGACTGTGGCCATGCCCCGTGGCTGTGGCCATGCGGCGTGCCTCTGCACATAAGTGTCCTCATTTGGGAAATGAGGGAACGGACCGGTTGCCTGAAAGGTCCCCTTCCAGTCTGTGGCAGCCTGTATTTTCCAAAAAAAAAAAAAAGCCACAACAATATTTTCAGAACAGTATTTTATGTACTTCTAGTATGTTGTCCCTCTCCATCAAGGTCTAGAGATTCTTTCCTTCCATGTGAATCTGACCAGGACACTGTGACGGCCTCGCGGCACAGAATGCGGCAGAAGTACAGTGCGGGACTTCTGGAGATAGATGATAACAGACGGCATAGCTTGCTCTGCTCTTGCTCTTCCGGGATGCTTGTGCTGGGAGCCCAGATGCCATACCGTGAGAAAGCCCAGACTGATGTGGAGAGGCCACAGTGAGAAGATCGTACGAAGAAGAACTGAGTCCACCAACCAAACCAGCATCGACTGCCAAACGCGCAGGCGAGCGAGCCTTCAAATGATTCAAGCCCTAAGCCTTTGAGTCTTCTGCTGAGACCTCAGGCATCATGAAGCAAAGTCAAGATGTCAGCACTGAACGCTGTTCTGAGTCTAGACCCACAAAACGCATAAATAGAATGACTGTTTGAGGGGTAAGCGATATATGGCCAGAGTAACTAGAACAAAGCCTAAAATTATACATGAGTCTATAAATCACATTTTGTTCTCATTTTAATTGCTGCAAATGAAGTCTCCTTGAATTTTAAGACCACTGTAGATAGGATTGGCCCCCAATGTGAGATTTCACCTATCCTTCCTTTATAAAATTTGGCAGCAAGTTTTGACTCAATAAGGGGACAGAGAACTGGCACAAATTATCTTGTATCAGTATTTATAGGCATCTCTCATTTGTCTTCATTACACGGTATGGAGGCGGGGGGTGGAGGGGGTTAAAGGAAGGATTTTTCCAGGTTTTTGGTTTTTGTATACTGAACAAAAAGTGAAGGTTTATCTTAGTCTGACTTCAATCAACCTTCCTCCTGATGTCATGATTAAAATTATTTCCTCAGGGGATACCTGGTTCTCACAAAATATTTATCCCTCTCTCTCTCTGTATTATACAGTCCCACTTTCTCTTTTTAAATATAAAAGCTTTATTAAAATATAATTCAAAGTCCAGATGCAGTAGCTCACACCTGTAATCTCAGTACTTTGGGGGGCTGAGGTAGGAGGATCAGTTGAGCCCAGCAGTTTAAAACCAGCCTTTTTTTGGCCAGGCGCGGTGGCTCATGCCTGTAATCCCAGCACTTTGGGAGGCTGAGGCGGGCGGATCACAAGGTCAGGAGATCAAGACCATCCTGACTAACATGGTGAAACCCCGTCTCTACTAAAAATACAAAAAATTAGCCGGGTGAGGTGGTGGGCGCCTGTAGTCCCAGCTACTCGGGAGGCTGAGGCAGGAGAATGGCACGAACCCGGGAGGCGGAGCTTGCAGTGAGCCAAGATTTGGGTACCACAAAAGATAAAATACAGCAAGTATCACAAAAGTCCAAAGATAACTATAATACTTTCGGAAAATGATAAGCTCCATACGCTCCAGCCAAGTTTGCCAGAGATCTCTACACTGAAGTTTCAGGTACAGTCACGAATCAAGGGTCACTCTGCTTTCCTTTGCCATTGTTCCTTATGAACATGCATCACCATAAAGCCCAGTGGAAAAAGGGTACAGAGATTAGTAGGATGGCACACAATTCAGAAACTCTAGGGAGCCGTGCCACAACAGCATTTTAGAAATCTAATAACACTCCAAATCCCAAAATAATTTGTAAAGAGTTAGATGCAAACAATAGCCTTAGAATCTTATTAAAATCATATTGTGCCAACATTCTACTAATCAGATTCTAAAACCTCCCATATGTCTGCCTTTTTCTGGAGCAATCATCTTTCCTGGTTTCTTAGAAGGAAAGTCCTCATCCATTACCTCAAAGGATATTTTATTTTATTTTATTTTTTTGCCCAGGATGGTCTCAAGCTCCTGAGCTCAAGTGACCCTCCCACTTCAGCATCCTGAGTAGCTGGAATTACAGGCATAAGCCCACCATGCCTGGCAACTACTCCTTGCAAAACTCCACAACTACTTCCAAATATTTCTTATTTGAGATATTGGCCCAAAGCTGATTCCCACTGACAGCTTCCTATATTTTGTGTAACTGTGCTTTCGTGAAAAAGGATACAGTTCTACTCTGTTAACATGTTGAAGAAAAATGCAACCTCAGATGAGATTTTAGTGCACTGCAAACACCTTTGATTTCCAGACAAGGGAAGAGTTTTAGAAAAATGACAAATGTAGAAGCCAGATCAACTTCAAAGTCTTTTTTGTTTGTTTGGACGGAGTCTCGCTCTGTCACCCAGGCTGGAGTGCAGTAGCACGGTCTCGGCTTACTGCAAGCTCTGCCTCCCGGGTTCACGCCATTCTCCTGCCTCAGCCTCCCGAGTAGCTGGGACAACAGGCACCCACAACCACGCCCAACTAATTTTTTGTATTTTTAGTAGAGACAGAGTTTCACCATGTTAGCCAGGATGATCTCGATCTCCTGACCTCATGATCCACCCGCCTCAGCCTCCCAAAGTGCTGGGATTACAGGCATGAGCCACCACACCCAGCCCAAAGTCTTTTTATGAGTAAAAAGATATAAATAATACAAGTGAGATAAGTAACAGCCAATTTGGCATGCCTGTGCACGTGTGTGTGTATATGTGTATGTGTGTGTGTTGATAGGAGAAGGCAGGATATGAAGCTAAATCTTCTAACTCCAATCACAGTGAAGATCATATGATGCCAGGGGTTAATTAGTATCATCTGATCATAAGCATTGCCTGGCACTATGCTCAATGTATAAAATTCCAGGTCCCACTGCAGATCAACTTCCTGAAACAAAATCTCCAGTGAGAAACCCTGGGACACTATTTTTTTTTTTTTAGACAGGGTCTCACTATGTTGCCCAAGCTGGAATGCAGTGGTGCAATCTCGGTTCACTGCAGCCTTGACCTCTCGGGCTCAGGTGATTCACCTCAGCCTCCTGAGTAGCTGGGACCACAGGTGTGTGCCACCACACCCAGCTAATTTTTTGTATTTTTTACAGAGATGGGGTTTCACTATGTTGCCCAGGCTGGTCTTGAACTCCCGAGCTCAATGGATTTGCCTCCCTTGCCCTTCCAAAGTGCTGAGATTATAGGCATGAGCCACCATGCCTGGCCTGGAATCTTCATTTTTAACAAGTGCCCCAGTAGAGTGTTTTTGGGTTTTGTTTTTGTTTTGAGATAGAGTCTCGCTCTGTCACCCAGGCTAGAGTGCAGTGGCGCGATCTCAGCTCACTGCAACTTCTGCCTCCCAGGTTCAAGCAATTCTCCTGCCTCAGCCTCCTGAGTAGCTGGGACTACAGGCGTGTGCCACCATGCCTGACTAATTTTGTATTTTTAGTAGAGACGGGGTTTCACCATGTTGGTCAGGCTGGTCTCAAACTCCTGACCTCAAGCAATCGTGCCCACCTCAGCCTCGCAAAGTGCTGGGATTACAGGTGTGAGCCACCGCGCCCGGCCCCAGTAGAGTTTTATAATCAAGTTAGGTTCAAGAAACACAACACAGTACTACCCAGCTCAACTAAAAGGTATGGCTCAGGCACACTCTTCAAATTTCACCTCACACCCAACTCCAATCAGTCTGGACTGCACAGAATCACCCAACTGCACCCAGTCCTCTCATCTCGGGGCCTTCACAAGTGCTACCGCCCCAGCCCTTCCTTCACCTCCTCAGACCAACTCATCCTGGGCATGGCTTCTCCCAGATCCCTTCTGAACCCCAGTGCTTCCCCCATGTGGCTCCTACTGCACTGTCATTTCCAGGAAACGAAGTTACATGAAGGCAAAGACCATTTGTTGTTGTTTCTGTTCACTGTTCAATGCTAACTAGAACACAATAAAACTAGCACCTGAAATAGTTATTGAGTGAATAAACACGTTAAAATTGGGAAGTTGTGTTGCTAGTGCAAAAAACTCTGATCTACTTTCTCCTAAAAACATACAAAATCAAAAAGTTAGACAAACTGTAGATAGAATTTTGGACATTAGCAAAGAAAAGCTGACAGAGGAGGACAATCAAAGTAGAGGGGAAGCCACCTCCTTTTAGTATTCTGTGTATTACACGCTCATGCTTTTAGTATTATTCAAGTAGGGCAGAGGACTCCACACTGCGTTCCAGGAAGCCATGGGTTTTGAGGGAGGTGCTCAGCCAATCTAATCTGTCAGAGGTATTTGAACCAGAGCAACCCCACCCTACCTAGGGGCTTGGTAAAATGAGGCCAAGACCAACTGGGCTGCATTCCTAGACAGTTAAGGCATTGTAAGTCACAGGATGAGATAGGAGGTCAGCCCAAGATACAGGTCATAAAGACCTTGCTGATAAAACGGGTTGCAGTAAAGAAGCCACCTAAAACCCACCAAAACCAAGATGGTGACAAGAGTAACCTCTGGTGGTCCTCACTGCTATACTCCCACCAGGGCCATGACAGTTTTCAGATGCCATGACAACATCAGGAAGTTACCCTAGATGGTCTAAAAAGGGGAGGCATGAATAATCCACCTCTTGTTTAGCATATCATTAAGAAATAACCATAAAAATGGGCAACCAGCAGCCCTTGTGGCTACTCTGTCTATGGAGTAGCCATTCTTTTATTCCTCTACTTTCTTAATAAGCTTGCTTTCACTTTACGGACGCACTGAGAATTCTTTCTTGCGTGAGATCCAAGAGCCTTCTCTTGGGATCTGGATCGGGACCCCTTTCCTGTAACAAACCCATGGAAGATACAGGAAGTAAGTGTATTGTGTTTAAAATGCAATGCAAATGGGGAGAGGAGGAAAAAAGGAAGAAGGGAGAAGAGATATAGAGCTAGAAGATGTAAGCATAATATAATGCTAAATTGTCTGAAATTTTTCACAACCATTTATGATTGAAAAAATTTTTGGCTGGGTGTGGTTGTTCATGCCTGTAATCCCAGCACTTTGGGAGCCCAAGGCAGCTGAATCACCTGATCAGGAGTTTGAGACAGCCTGGCCAACATGGTGAAACCCTATCCCTACTAAAAATACAAAAATTAGCTGGGCATGGTGGTGAGCACCTGAAATCCCAGCTACTCCAGAGGCTGAGACAGGATAATGACTTGAACCCTGGAGGCGAAGGCGGAGGCTTCAGTGGGCCGAGATTGTGCCACTGCACTCCAGCCTGGGTGACAAAGCGAGATTCTGCATCAAAAATAAAAAAATGAGAAATAAGAAATTTTTCAACAGATTATTAGTTCAAATAACTAACACAAATGACTTCCTTATCTTTTTCTTTGCAATAAGAATAAAAACCCTGGGGGACAGAGATGAGGCCAGAGGTCCCACCAGAGAGGAAGATACAAATACAACCAAGACCACTGAATACTGTAAGGATGACTCTCTCAGTGGGTGAACTAGGAAAAAAAGAGAAAGCATCCCACAAAGGGAAATGCTGGGGACACAAGCCTTTGTCCACCTTGATTTAGACTTAAATTTATCTGAATTTAACAAAAATAAGAATAATAGCAAGCAAAGAAAGTGGTAACTAAATGGCTGGGTGCAGTGGCTCATGCCTGTAATCCCAGCACGTTGGGAGGCTGAGGCAGGCAGATCACTTGAGTTCAGGAGTTTGAGACCTGGCTGGCCAACTGGGCAAAACCCCGTCACTACTAGAAATACAAAAATTAGCTGGGTGTGGTGGTGCACGCCTGTAATCCCAGCTACTTGAGAGGGTGAGGCATGAGAACTGCTTGAGCTGAGATTGAGCCATTGCACTCCAGCCTGGGTGACAGAGCAAGACTCCATCACAAAAAAAAAAAAAGAAAAAAAAAGAAAGTAATAACTAAATGGACTGGATTACAAAAAATAATAACAAAATCTAATCTGTGGGGTAAAAAAGAGATTTTTTTTTTAACAGGGTCTCACTCACCCAGGCATTGAAGTGCAGTTTCACAATCTCAGCTCACTGTAACGTTGACTTCCCAGGCTCAAGCAATCCTTCCACCTCTCAGCCTCCTTAGTAGCTGGGACTACAAAAACATGCCACCACACCTGGCTAATTTTTGTATTTTTCTAGAGACAAGGTTTCACCATGTTGCCCAGGCTGGTCTCAAACTCCTAGGCTCAAGCAATCCACCTGCCTCAGCCTCCCAAAGTGCTGGAATTACAGGCATGAGCCACTGCACCTGGTCCTTAAAAAAAGATAATACTAAAAATGGTATAAATTTCATTAAGGGGGTACCCTAAAATATTCCAATACCCTCATATTTGAAAAAAGTTACAAATATTGATAAGCTATATTTTAATTGATGTTAATATTTCTAGGGTAAAGAAAAGAAAAATATACAACTCACAACCAAGTAGAGGGAAACAATGGGATGGAAGGAAGAAAGCAAGCTCAGTTCCTCTAAGAAGGGGAAAGAAAGGACAAAATTGAAGCACAAAATATGATGGAAATGTAAACCAAAAATAACTCTAAGGCCCCCCAACCATCTGAATGGACTTCCTTCTCAGCCAGGGCTCTTTTAAAATTTAACCTGAGAGACTGTTTCAGGCCATGATAGGAAGTTGGGATCAAACATGCCTCACCGTACCTCTCGGGCATTAATAACAACACAGACTTTAAGCCTAATAAGAAACATATTGGCCAGGCATGGTGGCTCACGCCTGTAATCCCAACACTTTGGGAGGTCGAGGTGGGCGGATCACCTGAGGTCAGGAGTTTGAGACCAGCCTGACCAACATGGTGAAACCCCATCTCTACTAAAAAAAAATTAGCCAGGCGTAGTGGCAGGCGCCTGTAATCCCAGCTACTTGGGAGGCTGAGACAGGAGAATCGCTTGAACCAGGGAGGCGGAGATTGCAGTGAGCCGAGATCATGCCATTGCACTCCAGCCTGGGTGACAGACTGAGACTCCATCTCAAAAAAAAAAAGATACAAGAAACTTATTACAACCTATTCTCTCTTCAGCCTGCTACCTGGAGGCTTCATCTGTATGAGAAAACGCTAGTCTCCACAACCTCTTATTGCAACCCAGACATTCCTTTCTATTGATCCCAGGTCTTTGGATAAACTCAATCAATTTTTAACCAGAATACTTTTAAATCTACCTATAAGCTAGAAGGCCCCCCACCTCATCCCTTCAAGTTGTTCTGCCTTTCTGGACCAAACCAATATGTTTCTTAAATGTATGTGATTTTAGTCTCATGCCTCCTTAAGATGTATAAAACCAAGCTGCATCCCGACTACCTTGGGCACATGTTCTCAGGACCTCCTGAGGGCTGTGTCACGGGCCATGGTCACTCATATTTAGCTTCGAATAAATCTCTTCAAATATTTTACAGAATTTGACTCTTTTTGTCAACAGAAAATATGAAATATATGTGTATTCATTAAAAAGGCTAGACAAAATAAACTCTTCAGTGACAAGGCAAAGACTGCCATATTAGTTTTTTTCTAAATATTCTAGCTTATGCTACTTACAAGAGACAAAAACATAAGAATTAAGAAATTTAAGTAAAAGAATGAAAAGATGCATACTGTACTAAGTATGCTAACTGAAAGAAAGCCAGCATTAGCTCTATCAATATGCTACAAAATAGACTTCAAAGCATCAAAAGCATTACTAGAAAAAGAGGGTAACTACACAATGACAAAGGATTCACTTTCCTAGATAGACATAACATTTTAAAGGTACATGCATCCAAGAATTAAAGTTCTAAAAGCTAACAGAAGTACAGGGAAAAAATTAATACTCTTGATCAAAGCAGAAATATTTAACATCTTTCAGTGATTAAGATCAAGCAATCAAATCACCAAGGACAAAAAAGATTTTAATGAAATATGCAAAAAGCTTGATCTAAATAATGCATAAATCATACACATTATTTTCAAGTACTCATGGAATATTTGGAAAAACACAAAACATAAATTAACAAATTCAAAGATTCTAGATCTTCTCACATTTCCTGACCCAAAACCCAATTAAGCTATACAGGTTTTTTTAACTAAAACATTTACTTTCAAATTTAAAAAGATACTCCAGCCAGGTGCGGTGGCCCACGCTTGTAATCCCAGCACTTTGGGAAGCCGAGGTGGGAGGATCGCTTGAGCCTTGGAGTTCAAGACCAGCCTGGGCAACAGAGCAATACCCTGTCTCTATCAATCAGCCAATCAACCAACCAACTGATCAATAAAAAGATATTTTTAAGTAATTAATAATAAAAATTAGAGGAAATAGAGAACTGATTATGAAAAATAGTAAATATCAGAACACTTGGGATGCAAAAAAAAAAATCACAGGAAAGTTTATTCTTAAATGCTTACATAAGAAAAAAAAGGCTGAAAACAAATGGCCTTAGTAACCCAACATAAGTTGTTAGAAAAATAACAGAATTGCCTAAATAGGAAGAGGAAAATACACAGCACAAATGAGGCAGAGAACAAAGATACACAAAGAGGACCAATAAAGCCAAAAGTCAGTCCAATAAAATTGGCAAACTTTAGAAAAGACAAAATAAAATCAGAATCTCTGAGCATGGAGGCCTGGTATCAAGCACTTTGTACAATCAACTGGAGAGCTTTCATTTTGGCACCAGAGTTGAGGATTACTCTTCTCACCTGTCACCTTTCACTTTTCTTGGTGATTTTATATCATGTAAGAATCATAAACTACCCATTTATTTCTATGTAATATATTCCATTCTTCTTTTAATAAATATTTATCGAGGCACCATCATGATAAACAGATGTGATACTTATTCTCATAATGCTTAGAGTCTACAAGATAAAATATTAAGCAAAGAAAGAATAAGCTAATTTCATCGCTGTGTTCATAACAGAAAATGTAAAAACTACTGTCTAAAAACATAAAGGCTTAAGGATATTATATAAAGTCATAATAGTAAAGGTAACACAAGGTTGAAAAATACAAACTATGTAACAAACCTGCACATGTACCCCCTGAATCTAAAAGTTACAATTATTTTTTTAAAAAGAGCTCCAAAAGGAAATATTCTGAAAACTAAGGTTAAAAAAAAACTATTTAAATTATTAAATTATTATGACTGCTTTTATGCTACAATGGCAGAGTTGAGTAGTGTGACAAAGACCTCATCATACAGCCTGCAAATCCTAAAATATTTACTTTCTGGCTCTTTAAGAAAAAGATGGCTGGCCCCAGCACTATATTAACAGAGTAAAGAGGAAAGACATTCATCTCAAGGGAAGCAGAAAACATCTGATAAAATTCAATATTCAGTTATGACTTAAGAAAATAATGATAATGATTCCTGGCAAATTAGGACATATCAGTTCTTTCACCTTTATCTGGTTAACCTGTACCAATCATCACTCTTAACAGTGAAATATTAGAAATATAGAAAGAATAGAAATATTAGAAATATTCCCATGAAAATCAAAAACAAGACGCTATCCTTCCTACCTTTTTTTTTTTTTTTTTTTTTTTTTTTTTGAGACGGAGTCTCGCTCTGTCGCCCAGGCTGGAGTGCAGTGGCGCGATCTTGGCTCACTGCAAGCTCCGCCTCCCAGGTTCACGCCATTCTCCTGCCTCAGCCTCCCAAGTAGCTGGGACTACAGGTGCCTGCCAGCACGCCCAGCTAATTTTTTTGTATTTTTAGTAGAGACGGGGTTTCACCATGTTAGCCAGGATGGTCTCAATCTCCTGATCTCACGACCCGCCTGCCTTGGCCTCCGAAAGTGCTGGCATTATAGGCGTGAGCCACCACACCTGGCCATCCTTCCTACTTTTCAATATAACCTCTGCGGCCCTAACCAGTACACTAGGTCAAGAAAAAGGTATAAGGATTACAATTACAAAAGGAAGAGTCAAAATTGTCTTTCTTTAAAAATGGTATAGTTACTGGCCAGGCACGGTAGTTCATACCTGTAATCCCAGCGTTTTGGGAGGTAGAGGTGGGAGGATCACTTGAGCCCAGGAGTTCGAGACCAGCCAGCCTGGGCACCATAGTGTGAACCCATCACTACGAAAAACAAGAAAATTAGCCAGGCCTGCTGGCACACGCCTGTAGTCCCAGATACTCAGAAGGCTGAGGCGGGAGGATCAATTGAGCCCTGGAGGTTGAGTCTGCAGTGAGCCGTGATCATACCACTGCACTCCAGCCTGAGTGACAGAGCAAGACACAGTCTCAAAGAAAAAGAAAAAAATTGTATAGTTACCTACCTAAGTAGGAATCTATAACCATTAAGACTAATAAGAGTTGAGAAAGAGTACTGGATTCAAAACTGACATACTAAAATCAACATACTAAATGATACAACTGAATAATGGCTGGAAAAAGGTGATTCTGGCATCCATAGAAAGTAGTTATGCTGGAGTTTCTGGTTGACGTTGCTGGAAATGAGGGGGTGGGGCTTCCAGCAGCAGACACTATAGTCACCCATGCAATTCTTCCTGTGAAGAAATATAGGAGACTCAAGAAGTCATACTTACCAAACGTCTCCCAGACTGACTGTTATCCTTAAGTCAGAGGATGATAATTCATATGAGGTTTCTGTGTAAGAGTAGTAACATTCACAAAGAAGTAAACCCAGTTCTTGGCAGGACTACTTCAGATCTCTACCCCATCAACGCCTGCATGCGTATTACTTAAGGCACCCCAGCCTCTTCTTAGTATCAGGAATTACTGTGTTTGTGTATTTGGTTTCCTATTTTGTCTGCTTCCCTTTACTAACATGGAAGTTTCATGAAGTGAAGTCAGGGACTGTGTTTTGTTCTCCTCTGTAGCCCTAGCACCCAGAATAGTGCCTGGAGCATAGCAGATCCTCAATAAATGCACTAAAAGTTGAAAGGAAAAGATGACCCCTATGCTGAGTTTTGAAGGGTAGGCAGAAGCAGTATGACGGGTGGTGGAGGCAACAGTATTGTGCAAAGGCGGAAAGGCATGAAACCACATGATCTGCAGGAAAGCCAATTCAGTATTGCTGGGAAGTAACACGCAAGGCATGTGATGGAAAAATTGGGAACTAGTGGGCAGAGCAAAAAAGGGGCCAGAAGGGCCTTGTTTGGCATTCTTAGGAGTGGGGTCTTTCCCATTAAAGTGATGAGAAGCAAGTAAAGGAATGTAAGCAAAGAAGTAGCACAGATTTAGGCCAGGCACAGTGGCTCAGGCCTGTAATCCCAGCATTTTGGGAGGCCAAGACAGGCGGATCACTTGAGGTCAGGAGTTTGAGACCAGCCCGGCCAACATGGTGAAACCCCATCTCTACTAAAAATACAAAAATTAGCCAGGCGCGGTGGCAGGCACCTGTAATCCCAGCTACTCACGAGGCTGAAGCATGAGAATCACTTGAACCCAGGAGGTGGAGGTTGCAGTCAGCCGAGATGGCGCCACTGCACTCCCGCCTGGGCGGCTGAGTGAGACTCCCTCTCAAAAAAAAAAAAAATAATAATAATAAGTAGCACAGATTTAAATAGTTCAATCTGGTAGCTGATCATAGACAGCAGATTTGAGAGGGTCAAGACTGGAAGAAGGGATCAGGAAATTATTGCTTTGGTTCAGAAAAGTACCAGTGATTAAAAAAAATTAGTAATAAACACAACCATCCATATTAAGTATGTACTACTTACTTCATACTTAAGTATGTGAGTGCCAGGCACTGTGCCAAGTGCTTTATTCACATTATCTCATTTAATCTTCACAACAATTCTATGAAGTCAATGCCATTCCTGCTTTATGGATGAGGAAACAGAGGCCCAGAGAGATTAAGTTAACTTGCCTAAGGTTATTCAGTCAGGAAGTGAGGCAGCCAAGATCCAAACTAAGCAGTCTAACTGCAAAGCTGGACTCAAAGCTGCTGTGGCGTGACGAACAGATTCAAACTCATGTACATAGTAAAACTCAGATGCCTTCTGATTTCTTTGGAGGTAGAAGGTGAGGTGGAGGGAAGTGACTCCAAGGTGTCTGGCTTGGATTACTAGCCATTAGAAGCTCCGAACTACAAAAGTCCTTAATGATCACCCAGTTGGACTGCCTATCCAATGCCAAAATTTCTTCTTTATCACCCCTAACAAATAGTTATCCAGCCTATGACTGACAGGACAACACATGGCTGAGCTGAGTCAAACTCTGCTTACCATTACCAAGACCCTAAAGGTGTCAAATATGTCGAGAGTTGGGTCTTCTGAGACTTTTACCCACTGATTTTCATATTGCGATATGCAGAATTCTAGAATTCTGCAAGGACCTCAGAGGCTATCCCAGGCTGGCTCCCCTCTCCTGCTTCAACCAAGCACTACCAATCTTATCATACTCTTATGTTAAGGGTCCTTGTAAGATTTCACTGGGGGAAAAAAAGAGTACAGTACTTTTGAAAGGTTTCCTAATCTCTGGTCCAGACCAATTACCCGTATTTCATGACAAAGGAATTTGAGGTCCAGCAAATGCAACCTTGAGTTGGTCAAGGTCACATGGTCATGGTCACATAGACAAGTAGTCACAGAGCAAAACAATCCTGCAAGGATTGGGAACCACCCAACTTCTCTCAGCCATCTTCTTCTCTCTGTTTGAACTGTATACAACAATGTAAATTTTAACAGAATATTTAAAGTTAAAAATATATCAAAATACACATTCACTCTTTTTAGTTTTCCAACAGCTCTAGGTGTTGCCCTAACACTGAGTCCTCTCTGTCTCAGAACTGTCATCTAGTGGAAGGTAATTTATATAATGTATTAATCATTAGTCACCACCTGCAAAGTTCATGGTAACAATGGAGTTACAGCAAGAGATCTAAATTGACTGGCATGGTACAAAATCACAGACATTCTAGGTAACATTTCTGCCTATTTATTTATGGCCTTGTCTAAGAAAGCAAGTCAATTCTATTCAAATATATGCTTTGGCTTGGGGTCCTTCAACTCCATGATTCTTTAACTCCCATTCTTCCCTCTGCAAAGCTTATAACATAAAAGTTGTAACTGATTAAAGCTATGACTTGATCTAAAAAAAAAAAAAAAACCACACAAACATTCCCGCACATATGAACAAGGACTCAAGACTCACGCATTTCTATGAACAGCTGCCTCTTCTCTGCCATGGTCTTCCGCTTGTTCCCACTTTCCTCAATCATCCTAGAGACAAAGAAAGATACAATAAACCACTGTATAATTCGACAATTCAATCAAGTGCTAATCATTCTATTGTGAAGAGGGACCGGAAACCAAGTTGCAAATGCACATTTTAAGACAGTATCAGTAAAAATAAACTGGAAGCCTGATTCAGAAAAAGATAAACTGCCATCCTTTTATTTGATAGCTTCTAAAATATTAGTAAATCAATACTTGTATGAGCTCATACACTTGCTTACTGTGCTAAAAATATGGGGCTGACTTACTTCTAACTTTGATTATTTTCTCTGCAGAGTCCTGGATTAGTTGAGGTAACTTCCCATATCTCTACTGTTTTATATGGATAAACATGTTACTAAATATAATTTAGAAAATAAATGTAATGAAAGGCTGTAATAAAGGACATAAGAACAGTTAGCTTATACATAAAATATACATGAATATTCAATTTCATATTAAAGAAATCAGGTATTAATCCCTGATACGGTTTGGCTGTGTCCCCATCCAATTCTCAACTTGAATTGTATCTCCCAGAATGTCCATGTGTTGTGGGAGAGAGGTAATTGAATCATGGGGGCCGGTCTTTCCCGTGCTATTCTCGTGACAGTTAATAAGTCTCGTGAAATCTGATGGGTTTATCAGGGGTTTCCGCTTTTGCTTTTTCTACATTTTCTCTTGCTGCTGCCATGTAAAAAGTGCCTTTCACCTCCCACCATGATTCTGAGGCCTCTTCAGCCATGTGGCACTGTAAGTCCAATTAAACGTTTTTTTTTTAAAAAAAAAAAAAAGAAAGAAGGAAAAGAAAACTGTTCAGAGCTTGCTTTCTTTCTTTCTTTCTTTCTTTCTTTCTTTCTTTCTTTTTTTTTTTTTTTTTTGACAGTCTCACTCTGTAGTCCAGGCTGGAGTGCAGTGGTGCGATCTCAGCTTGCTGCAACCTCCGACTCCCGGGTTCAAGCAATTCTTGTGCCTCAGCCTCCTGAGTAGCTGGGATTACAGGCACGCACCACCACGCCTGGCTAATTTTTGTATTTTTAGTAGAGATGGGGTTTCACCATGTTAGCCAGGCTGGTCTCGAACTCCCAGTCTCAAGTGATCTGCCTGCCTCAGCCTCCCAAAGTGCTGAGATTACAGGCATGAGCCACCACGCTCAGCCCTGTTCAGAGCTTTCTTCCAGACTCAGTGACCTGGGACTGGAGTGTGGGAAGAGGGAAGATGCCGTTCGTTCACCTGCTGTCTTAGACCTTCCCAATGTGCCTTTTACTCCCGCTCTTGATAACTGCCTTCTGTATCTTTCCTTCACTTTCTTCTACTACAGATCATTTTTCTCCTTTTTTCCCCTCATCCTTCCACATGTATCATCCTCCAGCTTAATCACCAAAACCCTACCCGGTAGATATAATGCCCATTTTACAAATGAGGAAACAAAAGTTCAAAAAAGACAAATTACTTAATCAAGGCTACAGGGACTGATAAGCAGCAGGGCCAAGAGATTCCAAAGCTCGTGTTCTTTCCACCACACTGTACTCCTTCCACTTTAAAGCAATATAACTCCCTGCTCACAAAACAAACTTCTGAATTACTCTAGGTGAGCTCTGTCATAACACAACCACCTTTAGAGATTGGCCTGGTTCTCAACCAGGGACAATTTTGCCCCCATGGGACATTTAGCAATATCTACAGTCAGTTTTGGTTGTCACAACTGGGAGGGTGCTACTGGCATCTAGTAAACAGAGGTCAGGGACACTGCTAAACATTCTACAATGCACAGGAGAGTATTCACAATAAAGAATCATCCAGTCCAAAACAGCCATAGTGCTGAGGCTGAGAAACCCTGAGACAGACCACGTAACGAAATTTTAAAAACGGTAAACATTCGAAAACAGCCAGTATTAAATTTAGCCACTTGTTCAATATGATATTCAACAGCAAAACAGTTGACATCCTGAATTCTAACAATAGTTTTCTTTAACTAGCCTTGAAACTCATCTTGTCACTCAATTTCTGCATCTCAAATTCATCATTTGTCAAATGGACATAATGGGGATACGTTTTGGGAAGCAATGTGGAATAACAAAAGAATGAGTGTTTTAGTGAATTAAACTAAATTTCAAACACTAGCTCCAACACTTGGACCCTGGAAAAATTACTTAATCCTTCTGAATCTCGGATTCATCATGTGTAAAACTGTGATGATCACGAGTACCTTCCTCATGGATTGTTGTGAGGACTCACAGCAAATGCCTAGAACAGTTCCCAGCACACAGTCAGTGTTCCCTAAGTGTTAGAATGGACCAGCACACCAAATTGATGCTAAGAAAAGTCTGTTACTCAACAGGAGCCATAACACTGACATCATCTGTTGACTGAACAGGTGCAGCAGACCCTGCCTTCATTCTATCACCAGGCTACGCTAAGGTCTAACTGTCCAGTTTCTAGTTGCCAGCATCTGCATTTCTTTGCCTGAAGACAGACTGTGCTAAAAATTAGACCCAAGTTTCGACTGTGAAAGCAGGCAAATTACAAAGATTGAATTCACAGTCCTGACAAGATTCTTCTGAACCTTCTAGGCCAGAAGCGGCTTTCTTCCTCTTACTACAAGAGGGCGGTCTCCCCTGACTAAAAACTATGCAGAGGTCTTAGCTGGGATGCATGCCTCCAAAGATGCCTACCCTCCTGGAGATATGTGCCTACCTCCCTCATTGCTTCTAGGCTAACAACCAGGCATTGTCAGAATAGGGAGGTACTGGCCTTCCTTTTGATGAAAGCATTGATTCACCAACACAGTATGATATGATGAGATGTACTGGCAAGAACTGGAAGAACATACCTGGATCTTGAGACTACTGAACTTGGTGGTCAAGTATAAGACTGGCAAGGAAACGTCTGTTGATATGGGCCACTCTTCCATGACTCACAATTTAATGTTCCAAAAAGGGCATCTGGAGCCAGTCCTAACATGCTACTAGAATGGCTCATTTAAGGTGGAAATAAATGTTTCCAATGATGTCTTAAAGGAAATAAATTGAAAATCCCGGAACTGCATGGCAAGGTATTAAGGAAGGAGTCAAAAGAGAGTCTGTATATCCCCTATCCCCTACCAGGTACACTGGCCTGACAGCACCTGAGAGCTTTCTCTAACCTCGAGTCCATTTTGTTCCCGGCATGGCACGCCTGACATACACGCCTGTCAGGTAGATCTACCACCTCCTGAAAACAATCTTAACCAATAACTGAAAGAGATGGTATATAAATACTCCAACTACCTTTCCCCTGAAGGACTATAACTCTAAGACACAAGTTTTACATTCGCTCCTGGAGTTTCTCAGTGGGAATACTGTGAAAAAAATCAGTACCTGGCTTGAAAACAAATCTCGTATTTGCAATCTTTGCTATCTTCCCTCTCCTATCTCACTTCCCACTCCCCCACTGGCTTTTCCAAGGATAACCTCCAAAATAAAATACTTGCATTTAAATCCTTGTCTACAAGTCAGCTACTGGGAGAATTAAGGCATTAAGTAGTTTCATTTCAAGCAATCTTATAATTCAGGGTACATAAAATCCAAATTAATGGGATACACAAAAACTGAGATTACTATAAACCATTTCCCTAGGCCCAGTCAAAGGTGACTCCATGCCAGTGCTTTAAGTACACTAATGCCTGTATCTTTGTAATTATGCTTTTAACAGTTCCATACCTAAGAAGGGTATTATCTACTCCAATACCACAGCTGATGAGATACCCTTGCCATTCTGATATAATCTTGAAGACCAATGCTACCATGAATGTAAGTACATCTCTCTACTTCCTTCCACTTGAACTCCTAGCACTCTGCCTTTTCTTAGCCACACAATCTAGAGATAACCAATATCATTACCTTCACACTAACTCTAATTTCAAACCCTGCCATTTCCTTCCTCATAATCACGCTCATATCCACCCTCTTTTCCCATTTCAACTGCCAAAATCTTTGTCCACACTAATGCACAAATAAAATTCTATGACCTTGTGATCTCAGAACTCTCCACCCCTGTCTTCCTATGGTTCATCCTGTGGGCATACAGAGAAATCCAGTAGGCACGTTTATTGAAACATCTCTGATCTTCAGTGGGTCCGAATCACTGCTTCATTTCACCCAATTTAAAGAACCAGAACACATCTTCAGTCTATAAAGACCAGGGTCCTAGCTATGCAAATGTAAGAGAAGTTTCTTAAATCTAAAAGGGTTGAAACTTGGCCAGGTGCAGTGGCTCACGCCTGTAATCCCAGCACGTTGGGAGGCCGAGGCAGGCAGATCACTTGAGGTCAGGAGTTCAAGACCAGCCTGGCCAACATGGTGAAACCCAGTCTCTACTAAAATACAAAAAAAATTAACTGGGTGTGGTGGTGCATGCCTGTAATGCCAGCTAATTGGGAGGCTGAGGCAGGTGAATCTTTTAAATTCAGGAGCCAGAGGTTGCACTGAGCCGAGATCATGCCACTGCACTCCAGCCTGGGTAACAGAGTGAGACTCCGTCTCAAAAATAAATAAATGAAAGGGTTGAAACTGAAAGTTCCTAGAAAAGGCTGTTTAATATCCTCAGCCCAAAGCAAAACCAAATGAATGGGTTTGGAAAGCACAACCCATGAAATAAAAAAAAAAATAGTTAGATTTTATCAAAATTAACTGCCCCACAAAAGATACTATTAAGTGAATGAAAAGACAGGCAACTGAGTGACAGAAAATATTTTCAAAACACGTATCTGATGAAGTACTTGTATACAAATTATATAAAGAACACTGGGCACGGTGACTCACACCTGTAATCCCAACAGGATGTGGAAGGCTGAGGTGGGCAGATCACTTCAGCCCAGTAGTTCAAGACCAGCCTGGGCAACATGGCAAAAGCTCATCTCTACAAGAAAAATACAAAAACTGCCAGGCAGGCTGGTGCACACCTGTATTCCTGGCTACTCAGGAGGCTGAGGTGGGAAGGATCGCTTGTGCCCAGGAGTTCATGGCTGCAGTGAACTGTGATCACACTACTGCACTCCAGCCTGGGTGACGGAGCAAAACCCTGTCTCAAACAAACAAACAAACAAAACTCATAAAACTCAGTAACAAAACAACAGCTTAATCAAAAACAATCAAAAGCTCTGAACAGAAATCTTACCAAAGAAGATACACAGATGGTAAATAAGCATATGAAAAGGTGTTCAACAACACCTTTTGTTGGAAAATCTATTCGGAAATTACAAATTAAAACAACAAAATAACACTACATACCTACCAGAATAGTTAAAATAAAAAACAACTGACAACATCAAATGCTGACAAGGGCCGGGTGCAGTGGCTCACACCCGTAATCCCAGCACTTTGGGAGGCCGAGGTGGGTGGATCATCTGAGGTCAGGAGTTCGAGACCAGCCTGGCTAACATGGCGAAACCCTGTCTCTACTAAAAGTACAAAAATGATCTGGGCGTGGTGGCACACACCTGTAGTCCCAGCTACTCAGGAGGCTGAGGCAGGAGAATTGGTTGAACCTGGGAGGCGGAGGTTGCAGTGTGCTGAAATCGCACCATTGCACTCCAGCCTGGGCAACAGAGTGAGACTCCATCTCAAAAAAAAAAAAAAAGAAAAAAAAATGCTAACAAGGATGCAGAGGCAGCAGGAACTCTCATCATTGCTGATGGGAATGCACAAGCAGTCACGATGTGAGAAACCTGGCAGTTTCTTATAAAGCTAATCAGTCTTACCATACGATCCAATAATTGCACTGCTAGGTGTTTGCTCAATTGAGTTGAAAATTTATGTCCACACAAAACCTGCACCCAAATGTTTACAGCTTTATTCTTGATTGCCAAAAGCTGGAAGCAATGATGATGCCCTTCAATAGGTGAATGCATAAATAAACTGCAATACTTCATAAATGGAATATTGTTCAGCAATAAAAAGAACAAAGTATCAAGCCATCAAAAGACATGGGGGAACCTTAAATGCATAATGCTAAGTGAAAAAAGCCAGTGTGAAAAGGCTACATACTGTATGACTCCAATTTTATGACCTTCTAGATAAAACAGAACTATAGAAACAGGAAAATGATCAGTGGTTGCCAGAGTTTGGGGAAAGCAGGCAGTGAACTGAGTAGGTGAAGCACGGGGCAATTTTTAGGGCAGAGAAATATTCTGTATGATTCTGTAATGGTGGAAACATGACACTATGTGTTTGTCAACACCGACAGAACTTTACAACACAAAGAGTGAATCTTTATTTTTTTAATCTTTTAACTTTTTATTTATGTATTTTGTACAGACAGGGTCTCATTATTGTTGTCCAGGCTGGTCTCGAACTCCTGGGCTCAAGCAATCGTCCCACCCCTGCTTCTCTAAGTTTCGGGACTACAGGAGTGAGCCACCACACCAGCCACAAAGAGTGAACCTTAATGCATGCAATTAAAAAAAAAATCAGAGGATCCCAGAATGAAAAGCAGAATGTGATAAAGCAATCCAACAGTATTATATATGTATGAAATGACCTCACTGAAGAGGGTGGGGGAAAAGGTAGTGATAAGGTAGTGGAAGGACTGAGCAACACTATCAACCAACCAGAGCTAATTGACATCTATGGAACACTCTACCAACAATAATGAAATGTACATTCTTTTTAGGTGCACATGAAACATGTACCAACAAAGACCAGAGCTTGGGCCATAAAACAAACAGTAACAAATTCAAAAGAATTAAAATCATACAGAGTATGTTATCTGACCATAATGCATTGAAACTAGAATTCACTAAAAGAAAGAGAAGTCAATGAAACTAAAAGCTAGTTCTTTGAAAAGATCAATAAAATTGATAAACCTCTAGCAAAACAGAGCAACAAAAAAAAGAGGGCATAAATTATCAATATTACTAATGAAAGAGGGGAAGTTATCACTACAGAACACATGAACATTAAAAGAAACACCATAGAAATATTATGAACAATTCTAATCTATACATATAACAACTCAGATAAAACTGACCAATTCCTCAAAAGCTACAAATTGCCAGAACTCGCCCAGGGTGAAACAGATAACCAGAATAACCCTATAATTACTAAAGAGATTGAATTTGTAGTTTAAAAAAAAACCTTCTGTGAAAGGAATCTGCAAGCCCAATTCTACAAGAACCCTTCCAGAAAACAAAAGACAAGGAAACACTTACCTACTCATTTTGTAGCCAGCATTACCTAGATAACAAAACCCAACAAAGGCAGAAAAAAAGGAAAACTACCAACCAATGTTCATGAACATTGTTCATTTTCACTGCAAAAGTCTTCAACGAAATATTAGCAAATGAAGTCCATGAACGTATGAAAACTTACTACAAAACCACAGTAATAAAAAAAACAGTGTAGTACTGGCACAAGGATAGCAATAGGAATCAATGGAACAGACTGGGAGTCCAGAAATATATCCTTACACTTATGGTCATCTGATTTTCAACACAGGTACCAAGACAATTCAAGAGAGAAAGGACAGTCTTTTCAACAAGTGGTGCTGGAATGAAACTGCAGTATATTCATACTAATTGTGGCATATACATACAATGGAATATTGTTCAGCCATAAAAAGGAATGAAGTACTGAAGCATGCTACAACATGGATGAACCTTGAAAACACTATGCTAAATGAAAGAAGCCAGTCATAGAAGACCATGTATTATATGATTCCAGTTCTATGAAATGTCCAGAATAGGTAAATCCATAGCAACAGAAAATTAATCATTGGTTTCCAGGGGTTTGTGGAGGGTTGACGGGGGAAGGTGAATAGGGAGTAACTGCTAATGAGTACAGGGTTCTTTTTAGGGATGATGCAAATGTTCTGAAATTAATAGTGATGGTTGCACAACTCTAGAAATATACTAAAAACCACTGAACTGTAGGTTGAATTATATGGTATGTGGATTATATCTCAAATAAGTTAAACAGAAAAAAGATATCTTACTATGCATAACCCTAAGGTAATCGTTTTCACTAAATATTATATTGCTAAGATTCACCCTGTTGTTCATTTTTTTTAACGCTGTATAATTCCAAAACTGCATTTTAATCTACTCTCCTACTGATGGAAATCTGAGTTGTTTCTAGTTTTGTTTTTTTCTATCGTGGACAGTGTTGCTACAAAACGTTGTACCTGTCTCTTGCTGCACAAGGTCAAGAGTTTATCTTGGGTGTGTATCTAAAAAAGGAATTGCCAAAATGTTTTTTAAAGTGCAACAAAGTACATTCCTGTCAGTGATATATCAGAGATCCTGTGAATTCACAATCTCTCCAACACTAGATCCACCAGGCTTTTCAAATTTTGCCAACAGCATGGGTATATGATATCATCTCATTGTGGTCTTGATTGGTATTTCTTTGATCACTAATGAAGGTACCCATCTCTAATATGTTTACTGGTCATATGTGTTTCCTTTTCTGTGAGGTGCCTGTTTATGTCTTTTGCAATTAAGCTTTTGTTACAGTAGTCTCAAAATATCTTTTAATCTCAACATAAGGAAGGACTTTCTAAGCAAAAGTTTGCCTAAGTTAAACTACACTTAAATCTAAGTATCAAAACTCATGAGAAAGATGAAAAGACAAGTCACTAACTGGGAAAAGAGATCGGCAATGCTTATAACCAACAACTGGTATCCACGATATGCACAGAATTTGTACAAACCGGTAAGAAAATCTGACCTAAGATATAAGCAGGCGATTCACAGAAGAGACAACAAAAATGGAAAACAAATACATAAAAAGTTGCACATAATAACTCAAGACTAAACTATAATATCTAAGGATCCACAGTTGGGGTAGAAAACCATAAAGGAATCCAAGGAAGGGATTACTATACAAATCAGGACAGCGATTGCTTTGGGGGGAAAGGAAGGGGCTATGACTGGGATGAGGTACATGGAGGAGCTTCTAATAGGGCTGGCAGAATTCTATTTCTTCACCTGGGTGAAGATGACAGAAGCGTTTGCTCTACAATAATTCACTAAGCTATGATTTTTTTAGTATCTGTTTAATTCTGCAACACAAAATTTACAAAAATATAATTTACCCATCACACACATCAAATGAAAAAAATGAGTCTGAAAATACCATTTATATTGGCAAAAATATGAGGTGACATGAATTCTCATATATTGCTGGTGAAAGCATAAATATAACAGCAAAAGCAGTATCTAGTAATATTAAAAATGGATATAGGCCAGGCGCAGTGGCTCCCACCTGTAATCCCAGTATTTTGGGAGGCTGAGGCAGGTGGATTACCTAAGGTCAGGAGTTGGAGACCAGCCTGCCCTACATGGTGAAACCCCGTCTCTACTAAAAATACAAAAAATTAGCTGGGCATGGTCGTGGGCGCCTGTAGTCCCAGCTACTCGGGAGGCTGAGGCAGGAGAACTGCTTGAACCCAGGAGGTGGAGGCTGCAAGGAGCTGAGATTGTGTCACTGCACGCCAGCCTGGGTGACAGAGCGAGACTCCGTCTCAAAAAAAAAAAAACAAAAAAAACAAATGGATGTATCTAATTACCCAGAAATTCCCTTTTTACAACTATGTCCTGAGGAGACACATACAAGAATGCTTATGATGATATTGTTTCTAAACACAAAATCAGAAACAACCTAAATGTCCATCAACAGAAGCATGGGAAAATAAAATTATAGTATAGTCAATCGCACAACAGAATAAAGCAGGGCTACATTTATCGAGATGGATCAATTTCACAATATTAAGTGAAAAAAGTTACAAGAGAATACATAAAAAATAATATTATTTCCATAAAGCTTAAAAACATGCATATTAACAGAAGCAGGACTGGGACTATGGTGATGTGAACGAGGTACCTGGGGCACAAAATTTAAGGAAGCATCACCCTGGGGGTCATGCAAGCCCATGGCTGAGGGGCTCCTTACATTGGGGACCTAGGTGCCTCCTCATCTCACCCTGGCCCTGGCCCTGAATATAACATACAAATATACAAATACACACACACACACACACACACACACACAAACACACACACACACACACACACACACAGCAAAAGTATAAAGAAGTATATGGAAATGGTAATCATCAAATTCAGAAAAGAGAGTATCTCTGGGGATGGAAACAGAATTATGACCGCAGAGGTATACCAACTCCACTGGCTATATTTTCTTTCTTAGGCTGGGTTCTAGGTACAATATAGTCTTCTTTTTTTGTGCTCCATTTACTTAAGTGGAAACATATTTTTTTAATTTTACTTTAAGTTCTGCGATACATGTGCAGAACGTGCAGGCTTGTTACATGGGTATACATGTGCCATGGTGGTCTGCTGCACCTATTGACCCGCCATCTAAGTTTTAAGCCCTGCATGCATTAGGTATTTGTCCTAATGCTCTCCCTCCCCTTGGCCCCCACCCCCCAACAGGCCCCTGTGTGTGTTGTTCCCTTCCCTGTATCCATGTGTTCTCACTGTTCAACTCCCACTTATGAGTGAGAACATGCGGTATTCTGTTTTCTGTTCCTGTGTTGGTCTGCTGAGAATGATGGCTTCCAGCTTCATCCATGTCCCTGCAAGGACATGAACTCATTCTTTTTTTATGGCTGCACAGCATTCGATGGTGTGTATGTGCCATATTTTCTTTATCCGTTCTATTATTAATGGGCATTTGGGTTGGTTCCAAGTCTTCGCTATTGTAAATAGTGCTGCAATAAACACAATGTGCATGTGTCTTTATAGGAGAATGATTTATAACCCTTTGGGTATATACCCAGTAATGGGATTGCTGGGTCAAACGTTATTTCTGGTTCTAGATCCTCGAGGAATCCCCACACCATCTTCCACAATGGTTGAACAATATATTATTCTTTATGCTTTATATGTACTATTTCTTTATAACATTTTAGATCATCTACTTTTAGTAAATTCTCTGGTAAGTCTTATCCTGAGTGTTTTAGCGGGGGTGGGGAGCACAGTTCTCCATATATTTCCATATATTTTATTATTGAAACAGAGTATACCAAATACCATAAGCTCTGTACTTTTATCCAAATATACATGAACTCCCATGAACTCTAAAATTTGGTACAATAGCCATCATTTCAAAATCTTCAGCAACGTGTTCTACCAGTATCTCAACAACAGTTGCTAATACAGGATACTTTTCAGTTTTACACCAAACTCAAATTATTTATCTATATATCATTTCAGCCACTGTTACCAAACAAGAAGAACAAGAGTTTATGACTTTTTGTCTTTTATTCCTAAACCTCAAAAGGAACTTCTAAAAATGTATTATTAACCTTAATAAAATTTTAAGGTACTGGATTATGACTGACAATCACTGAAAAACATCAATAAGTCTGTCTTTATATTCTGAATATTTAGTTTTTAAATATCTCAATTTATAAGATTAGCCCATAATATCATTAGTAAATACCTTCAGGTACAATGTACTCAACAGTGTATATAAGTCCATATTTTAAATAGTATTTTTAGTAATTCTAAGCTATTTTTTATTACTGCTTTTTCATCAATCTGATGAGATCACCATTGTTTTTATATTATGCATTTGACTGACAAGTTCATAATATAAATAGAAGTATCCACTCTGTTTCTTTCTGGCTGTTCACGTGTATTTGTATTATTACTTCAATCTTCTGCTGACTCTGAAACTTCAATCTGCATTTTCTTTGCAGGAATCTTTGTGAGCCATCTGTCTATTTAGCAAAGTTCATTTTATTCAAATCAGGTAATATGATCTGAAAGACCACTAAACCCAGCAGAGGTGAACTAAAACATGTGCTAAAACAATATAAGCAGGTAAATAAGGAGGATCACAGTATCAGCCCCTCCAGGCGGTGGGGTTCCCTAGCTTACCGTACGTGACAGACATCATCAGACACACAGATGAAGTAAAGTGTCAACCTATGGGTCAAATACTGGTAAAACTTGATTGCTCATATTTTCTTGTAACACCCTGCCTAGAGGATCATTTTACATACCTCCCACTTTGGAGACTATTGCTCTTTTTAAAAGTAGGTGAGAAGACAAGACCGTGCTGAGCTTGAGGAGATTTTCAGGATTAGGGGTGTTAGAAGTAGAGAGGAAACTAAAGTCTAAGTGGTCAGGTAACTTGGCCTGAAGTTGCAAAGCTAGGAATCTGCGGAGTTGACCATGACGATGCTAAAGCGCTAGAGCCCATTTTCTTTCTATTGTGTCACATCGCCCCCTCCAGGGCAACATGAGGCCTCAAGGAATAAGGAAAGAACACAGGTCCCAAAACTGTGGTGCTGGATCAGACCTTAAATCATGGAGCTAAGTAGGATCTGAAGAGAGTGCAGCAAAAAGTTTGGATCCTTGTTAGTTCTTACACTCTGTTCTATTCATAGAAAATAGAGTGTTTCACACCTGGACTACGTCTACACGCAGAAGTTACGTAACTCCCACAGTAAAGACTAAAGGAAAAGGAGAGAAGGCTTTGGAAGTGTCTCCAGGATGTCTCTGTACATGCCTTTGTGTTAAATAGCCTTTATTTCCTTTCCATCTTTTTGTTAATTTCTTAACCCTGCCAGCTCTCAGCTACGTCAAAGCATCCAAGTATTGAAATTTCTTATGTAAGTTCACCACCTCCCACCATCTCCCTGTCAGTTTTTCTTTGGATGTCCATTTAATTAAGAAGTCAGTGAGGGGCCAGGCGCGGTGGCTCATGCCTGTAATCCCAGCACCTTGGGAGGCTGAGGCGGGTGGATCACGAGGTCAGGAGATGGAGACCATCCTGGCTAACACAATGAAACCCAGTCTCTAATAAAAATAGAAAAAAATAGCCAGATATGGTGACATGCGCCTATAGTCCCAGCTACTTGGGAGGCTGAGGCAAGAGAATCCCTTGAACCCAGGAGGTAGAGGTTACAATGAGCTGAGATCGTGCCACTGCACTCCAGCCTGGATGACAGAGCAAGACTCCGTCTCAAAAAAAAAAAAAGTTAGTGATGACTAAGACTCTCATTAACACTTAGTTACAACAAGCCAAACTTTATTGAAAGAGAACTTCCTTGCTTATTTCAGAAAAATTCTCAAATATTCTTCCTTTAATACTTCTTTTCTCTTCTCTTTCAGATTTAAAAAAAAAAAAAAAAGGCCAGGGAAAATAAATGTTCATAAAACCTTAAAGATTTGCTTTTTACAAATCTGAGAGAGTTCTCTAGGTTCCAATAAAAAAATTCAGTAACTGCACTCCACTACAACAAAGAGTTCTGAGTAGCTAAATAACCTCACGGGGCTGTGGTAACTCTTAAATCAATATCATGTAAAGCATTTAGCACAATGGCATCCAGTAAGAGCCCAATAAATGTTAGCTACTATTATTGATATTATTAGGTACTATTCAAATATAGTGAAGTTACGATGATATTTAGTCCAAACCTGATTACTACAGCATTTCAGCCCTATTTTAACTTATATATAATGTTAGTATACAAAAATTCAAGTTTAAAATGTGTTTTCTTTAAAGGTTGTGAGGTTTTTTGTTAAAAGTGAATTAACAAGTAAATCATATACATCTGTTTCTCTCAGTTACCTACAACTCAGAGAGATCTGTCCTATTCTTGACATGTTAAAGAAGGGAAAAAATAATTTCAAGAAATGCCCCAAAAAAAGGCCTCCATAAAATTCAACACCCAATTAAAAATATTTACCAAGAACAGAAGAAAACTTCCTTAAATTGACAAAAGACATCTTCCAAAAACCAACAGTAAACATCATATCTAACAGTGAAACACTGGAAACATTACCACTCAGGAAAAAGATTAAAATGCCCATTATTATACTTATTCTTGTACTGGAAGGCCTAGGCAATGCCATAACAAAGAAAAAAGTCTTTGTATAAAGTTGAGAAAGGAGCTTGGCTAATTAAATCTTCTAGAAAGTGGCCAGTAAGTACATTCTTTGATGCATCCTCTCTGCTCTAAATACACAATAATGGATAAAATATTTTTTAACAATTTTTTTTAATTAGGCTCAAAAACAAGATAAACCTCTATTTGGAGAAACAGAATAGATACACAAAGTTGCAAGCAGGACTGAAGCTCTAGGCTTGCTGGATCCGGAGTCTAGACCAGGTGTGCACTTCCTGCAGGTAGTAATGACAGAAAGCAAAGGAGGATGAAGAAACGGAGATATCTGGGCCAGACCCACTGCTCAAGGCCAGCAATGATGCTGGAGCTGAAAGGAAGCTAAAAAATACTGCTGCCAATCTCTGCCTAGAACTACAGTTTATCTAATACTCTAGGCTTAGATAAGTGGGAAGATATAAACAGCCTCAGGACCATACTCTATGAGAGGATCGAAAATAGCCCAATTAACTCAAAGGGCAGGACCCTTGACCCACAATTATCATATCTGATTCTAGACTGAGGCCCAGTAGGTCAGCTGAAGCACCTGAAATATCACCACACAGAGGACAGTGGGCACAGAAGAAAACAAAATTAAAAAAAAAAAAAAGAAAAGAAAACAAAATCAAAAGCACTCACTCTGAAAATGGGTCTGTAATTTGGCTGGGTGTGGTGGCTCACGTCTTTAATCCCAACACTTTGGGAGGCTGTGGCAGGCGAATCACTTGAGGTCAGGAGTTTGAGACCAGCCTGGCCAACATGGTGAAACCCTGTCTCTACTAAAAATACAAAAATTAGCCAGGCGTGGTGGCGGGTGCCTATAATCCCAGCTACTCGGGAGGCTGAGGCAGGAGAATCGCTTGAACCTGGGAGGTAGAGGCAGAGGCTGCAGTGAGCTGAGATCATGCCACTGTATTCCACCCTAGGCGACAGAGCCAGACTCCATCTCAAAAAAAAAAGTCTGTACTTCAAAACACATGAAGAGATACACTGCAAGAAAGACAGCCAACAAAACCAATGACTAAATATTATTCCAGGTGAAGTTTAACTTTACAGAACAGTCTGACATACTTATTATATAAGTACATTTAGGGTACTTGGACATAAATTTTAAAAATTATTGGGAATGCAAATGATACAGTCACTTTGAAAGATAGTTTAATAGTTTCCTACAAAGCTTGATATATTCTTACCATTCGACCCAGCAATCACTCTCCTAGGTATTTTCCCAAGTGAGTTACAAATTTAATGTCTACACAAAAACCTGCACACGGATGTTTATAGCAGTTTTATTCAAAAATTGCCAAAAACTAGAAGCAACCAAGATGTCCTTCAGTAGGTGAACGAATAAACAAACTGTGGTGCTTCCATAAAAAGGAATATTATCATTCGGCGCTAAAAAGAAATGAGCTGGCCGGACGCGGTGGCTCACGCATGTAATCCCAGCACTTTGGGAGGCCAAGGCAGGCGGATCATGAGGTCAGGAGATCGAGACCATCCTGGTTAACATGGTGAAACCCCGTCTCTACTAAAAATACAAAAAATTAGCCAGGCATGGTGGCGGACGCCTGTAGTCCCAGCTACTCGGGAGGCTGAGGCAGGAGAATGGTGTGAATCCGGGAGGCAGAGCTCGCAGTGAGCCGAGATCGCGCCACTGCACTCCAGCCTGGGCCACAGAGTGAGACTCAGTCTCAAAAAATAAAAATAAAAAAAAGAAATGAGCTATCAAGTCGCAAAAAAGACTTAGAGGAAACTTAAATGCATACTGCTAAGCAAAAGAAGCCAATCTGAGTAGGCTCCATACTACATGATTCCAAATCTATGACATTTCCAACTCTGGAAAAGGTAAAACTATAGCCATGTAATGACATTTATTCTGTCTGTACTGTTGAGTATTTTACAAGTGAGCCCCTTGCAGGGTTGTAGCATGCAGTCATGCCATGTAAATGATACATGACATTACGCACTTGTCAAAACCCATAGAACTATACAATACAAAGAGTGAACTCTAAATCATGAACTTTAACAACAATGTATCAATATTAGTTTATCAATTATAATAAATGTAGCATACTAATGCAAGATGTTAATAATAGGAGAAACCATATGGGAAAGAGTGGGTATATGGAAACTCCATACTATTCAGCCACATTGGTCAAAATTGTGTTAATCTATTTTTATTCCATTATGTATATTGTTTTAAAAACTGTATTACTGACAATTGCACTTGAGTACATACACAAAAGAAATGGAAACAGAGACTTAAACAGACATACAGATACCAATGTTCATAGCAGCACTCCTTGTAATGGCCAAAACGGGGAAACAACCCAAATGTCCATCAATGAATGAATAAACAAAATGTGGTATATTCATACCATGGAATATTATTCAGCCTTAAAAAGGAAATTTTCACACATGCTACAATATGAATGAACTTTAAGGACATTATACTAAGTGAAATCAGCCAGATACAAAAGGGCAAATATTGTAATGATTCCATTCATATGAGGTACCTAGAGTAGTCGAATTCATAGAGACAGAAAGTAGAATGGTGGTTGCCAGGCGCTGAGGGAAGAATGGGGAGCTGGTGTTTAAGGGGTACAGAGTTTCAGTTGGGGATGATGAAAAAGCTCTGGAGACAGTGGTGATGGCTGTGCAACAATGTGAATGTATTTCATGCTACAGAACTGTACACTTACAATGGTTAAAATTGTTATTTTTATGTTATGTGTATTTTACTATAATAAAAAAAGTTAGAGTGCTGAAAAACTGGTCATCCAAATTGAAAAAAAAATTGTATCTTTTCATTATACCATACATAGAAATAAATTCCATCTGGAAAGCAAAACTTTTTTAAACTTTTGGAAGAAACTCTAAGAATATATCATTAACACCATGAGAGACAGAAAATTTTCTTAAACCAGATACACACCCAAAAAAAGACAAGCCATTTAAGGGAAATTTTTCATAAATATGACATTAAACTTAAATGGTATATACAACCAAATACATTGTTAACAAAGGGAAAGAAAAGCCTAGGGCTGGCAGGATGCATTTGCAACACACAGACCCACTGAAGAATCAGCATCTAAAGGAACCCAACTGTTCCTCAGTGAGTAAAAGGACACGTGCGCTGTGATGTAAGTCCACAACCGGGCCAGGTGCAGGGGCTCATGCCTGTAATCCCAACGCTTTGGGAGGATCACTTGCCAGCCTGAGCAACATGGCGAGACTGCATCTCTACAAAAAATTTTAAATGGTGGCACGCAAGTGTAGTCCCAGCTACTTGGGAGAATCACTTGAGCCCTGGAGTGCCACTGCACTCCAGTCTGGGCGACAGAGGAAGACCCTATCTCAAAAAAAAAAAAAAGCCTACAACTGAATACACTAAGCAGTTGAAAATAAATGGATTAAATCCACAAGCAGCAACATGGTTATAGCCCCATCAGTTATGAAGTAAAACGCATACCTCTGACCCAGCAACTGTAGTTTTTCATTCACTGCAGCAACGGTCCTTAATGAGAATACTAAATAAACTACGATACATACTACATAAGAGATTGTGTAGTAGTTAAGAAGACTCAGGTTGATTCCTGTGTTCCAACATGAAAAAATCTCAAAATCATTCTGTTAGGGGAAAAAACTGCAGAACAATGTGTATGGTATGATGTCATTAATGCAGAGGAGAAAAAACTCTGCTCTTTTTTTATTCTGTATTACCTATATATACATGAAAATACATAGAGAATAGCCTGGAAAGACCACAAAAACTGATAACTTCTGTTTCTGTGAGTAGGTCAAGGGGGCCTTTATTCTGTCTATACTGTTTTGAGTATCAGATGAGTTTGTGTTCCCTATATATACATGAAAATACATAGAGAATAGTCTGGAAAGACCACAAAAACTGATAACTTGTTTCCGTGAGTAGGTCAAGGGGGCCTTTATTCTGTCTGTACTGTTTGAGTATCTGACAAGTGAGTGTGTGTTCTGAGCCACCTGCAGAGTTGCAGCACACAGTCACACAGAGTGTGCACTACACAACTCCAGCAGCTGCCAGGCACAAGGACTCCAATGTGAATGGTGCTCCCTAAAGCTGGGCAGAATACAATCTACACAACTAGGTGCCACAGCTCTGATGCTCGTGTAATTCGAAATCAATAAAAGGGAGTAGGGAAGATAGAGAATGGACTGCAAACCAGCATAAGGGAACATTCTGGGGTGATGGAAATTTCTTGATTGGAATGGTGGTTACAAAGTATACAGCAGTCTCCCCTCAGAAATAAACAATTTGTAAGTTTTAAGTTGTGTACCATTCTGAATAGCGTGACGAAATTTTGTGCCATCCCACTCTGTCCCACCTGGGATATGAACTATCCCTTTCTCCAGCATATCCACACTGCATAAGCCACCTTCTGGTTACTCACTTAGTAGCTGTCTCAATGATCAGATTGACTGTCATGGTATCACAGTGCTTGTGTTCAAGTGACCACTGTTTTACTTAATAATAAAGTGCAAGAGTAGTGATGCTGGCAATTGGGATATGCCACAGAGAAGCCAAACATATGCCTAAGAGAAGTCATTAATCTCTCATGGCAACTAATTTATAAGTTAAAACTTTATCATAGATACTTAAGTATAGGGAAAAAACAGTCTATATAGGGTTTGGAATTAACTGTGGCTTCAGGCATCCACTGGTGCTCTTGGAACATATCCCTGAGGCTAATGGGGGGACTACTGTACACATTTTTCCAAAACTCATCCAACCGCACACGGGAAATCTGTGCATTTTATTTTGTCAACTATACGTCAAAAAGTTGGTTTTAAAATAAATACATAAACAAAATATCATTGAGAGAGCCTGGAATAAGGCACCCAATATTGTAGAACCTAGGCACCTCTCAACAAGAGACCTGCTGGCTGTACAGCCCTGAAACAGGAGAAATAAATTTACTTCTTCAAGGCTTCCTATACAATGCCAGATTTTGATTATTACTTATTTTTCACACGAAGAAACTAAGGCCCTGAGAGAGTAACATAAAGACATAAAATAAACAATAAGTTGAAATTCTCTTGGTTCTGAGTCTAATTTTCTAACCATAGGTAGAAATTTGTCTCTCGGGCATAGTGGACATCCAAAAACTCTGCCAGCACTACCTTGACTGCACAACCCCTTTCAAAGGCAATTCCACTTATGCATGATAAAAATCCTTAGAGAACTCATAAAAGGTCAAGTTTTAATTTGGCAGACAAAGTAACCCAACAGGCACTGCAACCCAGGTTACTGAAACAGCAGCCTGGAGCTCCAGAGTTCAGAGATTCAACCAAGGCAGAGCACAGGTAGAATTCCAGCCCTTACAGAAAAGCAGAGGCACCAACAGCCTCGCACTACAGGTCTAAGACCCAAGAACCAGGACCAAAATGAAAAAGTGTTCTCTAGACAACACTACCCTCTTCCTTCTCAAGTAATAGAAAAAGCCAATGGGAGAAGGAACAAAATGGGATGATCTCAAGCAACAGGCCAAGGAGCAAGCTCTTGAAGGCCAACATGAAAGACACATGGGAAAGTGGTAGCATGGCCACAGAAACCAAGACCTCGCCGCCTTAGCCATTGCTTTAACGTGCCCAGACCTCAGAACCGGGGTTGCCTCGCATAGCAAAAAAAAAAAAAAAAAAAAAAAAAAAAAAAGAGGCAGAGAGAGAGAACTTGTGGAACAGGAGAAATCCAGCAACCTTCCCTAACACTAGAGTGACTGACACTGCTCCATGGCAAATGTGGCCAAACCTTGCTTGTCCATTCATTCATGCAATAGACACTTATGGCTCAACCGCTGTGAGCCAGGCAACATTCTGAAGATTTAGCAGTCAATAGTCATGGAGCTTATTTCTAGATGGGAAGGAAGGAAACTTCCTTTCTTTCCAAACGTCTTTTTTCCCCATCTAAGAGCCCCCTTTAAATGTTACCCGTAGGAGCCTTCAAAACTCTCCCAAATTTCTCCCATAGGCTTCTTTTGACCTTTCTGCTTTATCCCCAAAACCACGCAATTTATGGCTCCAATTTCCCAATACTGGGAAAAGACAAAAGAGACCGAAAGTAAATAGGGCATGCGACATAAAATTCGACGCTCCTTTGTATTTCATGTGCATATCTTCACAGCCACACTGTCAGCACCTCAATAACATGACGGTGTTCCATACTATTTCGTGGCCCCAGTGCTGACTACGGGTCTCTACCTACGGTAGCTGGAAGGTCTTCCTAATCCCAAGGCCTGGCACAGGAATTTAAGGGCAAGTATTCGTCACCGGCATCCTCGTCTCGGGACACTTCTTTCCTGTCCAGGGTGACCTCCTGGACAGGTTCGCTATTAGGCGCCTCGGGAAACAGTGATTTGGGGTGATCTGAAATAAATACCCTTCCCTCTGCCAGGGCCTGCCCGCCTCACCTGCCCTCTGCCAGGACCTGCCTCACTCGCCCCTTCAGCACCTAACGCAGAGCCGCCTCCAGGCGAGCCGGGCTCGGGCAGCATCAGCCCGGCGCCGGGCCCCCGCTCGCGCCCGTGCCCCGGCGCGTTCCGGACCCCGATACCCCTCCCGGCCCGGGATCCGCCGCATCCCCTCTGCCTGTCCCTCCGGGGCTAGCCGCGCCGTCCCACCTCGCAGCCGCGCGCGGTGCAGCGGCCCCGGCTCCCCGCGCCCTCCCCGACTCCTGCAGCGCCGCACCCGCAGGCTCCCGGGTCCCCAGTCCCGGCGCAGCGCGAGCTGCCGTCCCGCACCTCGCGGGCGCGAGGCTCCAGCCCAGCTCGTCTCCCCACAGCCCCGGCGGCGGCCGCAGACCCCCACCTTGCTCACTTCCCCGCCGGAGCAGGGGTCGTCGGGAAGGTCTCCTGCGGCCTCACTCCTCCGCACGCTCCGGCCCAGCCCCCTCGGCTGAGGCAGCGGCAGCGCCTACTCAGGCCCCGGAGCCACCCCCGCGGCGAACGTTCGCAGCGCCCGGCTCGCGCCGCTTCTCCGCCCGGCACGCGCAGCGCCCGCCCCCGGCGCGAGGGCGCGAGGGCGGAGGGCGGAGGGCGGATGGGCGGGCGCGCGCCCAGCGCGAGCGCGCGGCCGGGGGCGTGGCTTCCGCGCGCGGGGAGGGGGCGGGAGCGGCCGAGCAACCCCCCTCCACCCCGCCCCCGCGGCCGCGCCCCGCCCACCGGTCGCCGGCGGGTTCCGGGCAGGCGGGAAGCTGGCTCCATCCAGGCTTCTCCCGCTCGCTGGCGTCGGGCCGGGTGTCTTTCCATCCGCAGGTATCCGTCGGCGGGGTGCCCGGCCCGACGTGACTACCCGACAAAGAATGCAAAGAGCCACCCCGTGAATCATTCTCCGCGCCTGGGTCACAAGCCTGTGCCCGAGTGACCCCCGTGAACTCCGCAAGCTAGCCCAGCCGCGGCGTGCGCCCCGCGCTGCACCAGGTGCCTGTGGGCGCACGATCACGGTCACGGCGCCTGGGCTCGAGGCGCCCCAAACTTAGCGGGGAAAACAGCCATGTACACAACCAAGTCCGATGACCCGTGCAGAGCCAAGCCACGGTGCGATGCTGGCACAGAAGCTAGAGACGACTTCTGCTTGGACGCCGCAGAGGGCTAGAGGCGGCATTTATGGTCAACCTCGAAGGAAGAAAAAGAAGTCCTAGGAGGAAAAAGGGAGGACATTAGGGCTGGGAAAACAGTTTGGGCAAAGGAGCCGGGGCAGCCAGGTTTACCATCTCAGCACCAGCTTTTTTGTGTTTTACTGTTATCCATCTTTTATAGAATTCTTTCCAAACTGTGAAATACAGGAGATGGTGCCAAATTAGAATATAGCAAGGACTTTTTGAATGGTTCAAATGGTCATTCTCAACGTTACTTAAGACTCAAAACAGCAACGTCCTTTGGGGGCTATTGGTCAATGATGAAGGCTGTAAGCTCCAGAGCTAAGCGACCCCAGGCCTGCATGCTGGGAGTATGGTTTTCACTGCTTTTTGGCACCTTACGGTAAGGCAGATCGTGCCACCTCCTGCTGCTGCCTGCCTGCCTGCCTGCCTGCCTTTAGAACACCCTCTTCCTCCTCCTCTCCTCTTTTTATTTTTAAACTCCTATGGTGAAGGAAATGCTGATAACCAACTTTGTTAAATGGGAACAAATAGGTTCCTCAAAAGATGAGCATTTTCTGGCCTGCCGCGGAGGCTCACGCCTGTAATCCCAGCACTTTGGGAGGCTGAGGCAGACGGATCACTTGAGGTCAGGGGTTCGAGACCAGCCTGGCCAACATGGCGAAACTCTGTCTCTACTAAAAATACAAAAATTAGCCGGGCGTGGTGGTGTACGCCGTAATCCCAGCTACTTGGGAGGCTGAGGCAGGAGAATCGCCTGAACCTAGGAGGCAGAGGTTGCAGTGAGTCGAGATCGCACCACTGTACTCCAAGTCTGGGCAAGAGAGTGAGACTCCGTCTCAAAATAAATAAATAAAGATGGACATTTTACCTTTTACCTTACATATATGAAGTGTGTGAATATTTTCATGCTTGAGGAGACTTATCTCTTGTAGGCACGGTCTTGGCTATGTTTTGTACATATTAAGATACTCAGAATACAGGTAAGAGACCTCTAGCTTCTTTATTTGCCCTTTTTGAGCACCCCCTATGTGGAAGGCATTGAGAGGGGTAAAACATTGATTCTGTTCTTTGGAGAAAAGATGTGTAAATAATATAAAATAAATGTGTAAATATCGCTTGATATGTTCGGTTTATTGATTGAAACCAAGGTAATTTCAATATGTGGACTAGACAATCCTAAACCATAAGGGAATTAAATACTTCAAGGACACTGTATTGGCATCTCTCCATCTCTGTTCTCTATTTCTTCACCTCCCACATCCTCAGAAAACTTTTCAAACACCTTTCAATCATTCTCCCCCTCTCACTCCAAAATTACCAACTTCTCTTTACTTGTCTCTTTCCTTCATCATCTATTCATGTTTAAGCTTTTCCTGTCCTCAAGAAAAAGGAAGAAACCCTTTCGCTGTCCCTCTAGATTCTGCTTCAGTTACTAGTCCCTCTCTGAGTTTTCCTTCATAAATATCTTGAAAGTCATCTACCCTCATCTCTACCTCCTCAGCAGCTCCTCAGCTCCTCAAACCTATGTAGTTTCTGTCCACACCACATCACTGCATTGCTCTCAGTCATGAATGGCTTGTTGGATCCTAAATACCACAAGCCATCTCTGAGTCCTCATATTGTTAGAACTCTCAGTGACATTGAACAGAGTAGCCCACTCTTTCTGAAACTCCCTTGGTGTCATGGCATGACTCCTGTCTTAACCCCTGTGACCACTTCTCAGTTTCACAGATTCTCTCCTCAGCTGGTCTCACGCCACACATTCTCCCTGGACCATTCCATCCACTCCGCTTCTTTATCTACCGCATATCAGCAACTCCCAAGTGCACTCTCTCTAGCTCAGGCCACTCATCTGGGTTCCTTATTCACAAAAGCCCGCCAGACTTCTCCACCTGGGTGTCCTAGAGGTACCCCACGTTCTACATGTCTAAACTACTGTCCACCCAGTTGACCAATTCAGAAACTGGGGGGCCATTCTTGATTCCTTCTTCTCCCACCACCCCTCTGCCCTGACTCCATACCCAACAACCACTAAGTCCCATTGATGCTTCCTCATAAATAAATAACTAGAATCTTTCCCTCTTAGCCCACCTCCCCTAAACTAATGCAGCAGCTTTGTTTGTTTGTTCTGGGACGGAGTCTCGCTCTGTCACCCAGGCTGGAGTGCAGTGGCACGATCTTGGCTCACTGCAACCTCCGCCTCCCAGGTTCACGCGATTCTCCTGCCTCAGCCTCCTGAGTAGCTGGGATTACAGATGCCCATCATCATGCCTGGCTAATTTTTATATTTTTAGTTAGAGACGGGGTTTCACCATGTGGACCAGCCTGGTCTCAAACTCCTGGCCTCAAGTGATCCCCACCTGCCTTGGCCTCCCAAAGTACTGGGATTACAGGCGTGAGCCACTGCGCCTGGCCATGCAGCAGCTTTTTATGTGGTCTCCCTGCCAGTCTTGCTGCTTCCAATCCATCTTCCATGCTGCAGATTAGAGAAAGCTTTCAAAAATTTACCACCCCTGGTGTCACTGTCTAGCACTTCCCTTAATCTAGCCCTTGCCCATTCTCTCCAATCCATCGTCTATTGCTTCCTCCACACACACCATACAAACTCCTGGAATGTTTCCACTTCCCCTTGGCTCCACACCTTTGTGCTTGTTTCTGTCTCTTTTTGGAATGTCATTTGAATACAAGCAAAGAATATCCAACATATGTGTCACTGGGGTGCTACATATGTCGAAGCTATAATCTAAGAATCTTTCTGAAAATAAGATATAAACCTATAAGGCCTACATTTACCTGGGAAAATTGCCAGAGGCTGAACTCTGAGAGCTATGCTATTTACAGTGTTAAACTGATAATAATAATAATCTTCAAGGTCTGCAGGTACAAAGTTCAAATTGTTTAAAAGGGTAAGAAAATTGGACTGCAGGCCAGGTGCGGTGGCTCAAACCTGTAATCCCAGCACTTTGGGAGGCTGAGGTGGGCAGATCACCTGAGGTCAGGAGTTCGAGACCAGCCTGGCTAACATGGTGAAACCCTGTTTCTCCTAAAAATGCACAAAATTAGCCGGGTGTGGTGGTGCACGCCTGTGATCCCAGCTACTCGGGAGGCTGAGGCAGGAGAATCGCTTGAACCCGGGAGGCGGAGGTTGCAGTGAGCCGATATTGCGCCATTGCACTCCAGCTTGGGCAACAAGAGCGAAAATCTGCCTCAAAAAAAAAAAAAAAGAAAGAAAAGAAAATTGGGCTGCGGGACTTTAAACGTGGCTGCCAATTTTTTTTTTTATCATTCCTCTCCATCCAGGATGGCCTTACTGAATTGCTCGGCCAATAGAACATGCAATATTCTGGGATTTCTAATCCCAGTTCACAAAAAGTCTTTAAGTGTCCACTTGAGTTTGGGTCTTTGGTCTTTGGGAACACTTTTTTTTTTTTTTTTTTTTTTTTTTTGAGATGGACTTTCACTCTTTCACCCAGGCTGGAGTGCAGTGGCACGATCTCTGCTCACTGCAACCTCTGCCTTCCGGTTTCAAGCGATTCTCCTGCCTCCGCCTCCCGAGTAGCTGGGACTACAGGTACCCACCACCACACCTGGCTAATTTTTGTATTTTTAGTAGAGACGGGGTTTCACCATATTGGCCAGGCTGGTCTTGAACTCCTGACCTCATGCCACCCGCCTCAGCCTCCAAAGGTGCTGAGATTACAGGCGTGAGCCACCGTGCCTGGCCAGAACACTTATTCTTAAAGCCCCAAGCTGCTATGTAAAATATGTAACTCCCCAGAAAGGTCCTACATGGAGAAGGAGAGGACCTAGCTGATTCTTGCTGGTATGAGTGAAATCGTCATGAAAGCCCTACATCAGCAGAATACCACTGAGTGACCTCAGTTGAAGCCACAGGGAACAGAAGAATCATCCAGCCAAGCCCTACCCAAATTCCTAACTCCAAAGACTGTGAAATTATAATTAAAATGGTTCTTACTTGAAGCCATTCTTTTTAGGGTAGGTGGTTTATTATGGAGTCTGGTAGCCAAAATAGTTGGCATCACCCGTCTCAAGAACAACAAACAAGCAAGGCAGTAGTGATACAGCATTTTCAGCATTTTCTGGAAACTTAAGGAACAAAGATGCAAGCCAAGGATTTTATATCCATCCATTCATGCTGTTTTTAAAACATCTAGTCGATAAAAAAGAACTGTTTACAAAATGCACAACTCAAAGAATACTGCACATGCAAGCCCATCTTAAGCATCTAGTAGAGCAGGGTCAGCAAATTTTTCTAAAGCATCTGATAGTAAACATTTTAGGTTTGGTAGTCTAACTACACCAGCCTGCTACTGTAGCACATAAGCAACCATACATGATATGTCAATAAGTGGGCGTGGCTATGTTCCAATAAAATTATATTTACAAAAACAGACTTGGAGCTGGATTTGGCCCATGAGCTACAGTTTGCCACCCCTATACTAGACGAAAAGGAATAAATTTATCAAGTAAGCACATCACAAAACACAAGGCCTGTATGATTTAAGAAAATAATATACCATGATCCAAGTGGGGTTTATGTATTAGTCTGCTAGAGCTGCCATCACAAAGTATTCAGACTGGTTGGCTTAAAGAACAGAAATTCATCTTTTCATAGTTCTGGAGGCTACAAGTCCTAGGTCAAGATGTTGGCAAGGGTGGGGCATGGTGGCTTATGCTTGTAATCTCAACACTTTGGGAAGCAGAGGAGGAAAGTTTGCTTGAGCCTATCAGTTCAAGACCAGGCTGGGCAACATGGTAAGACCCCACGTCTAAAAAAAAGAAAATTTTTTTTTTCTTTTTTTAAGACAGTCATGCTCTGTCACCCAGGCTGGAGTGCAGTGGTGTGATCTCGGCTCACTGCAACCTCCGCCTCCCAGGTTTAAGCGATTATCCTGCCTCGATTTCCAAGTAACTGGGATTACAGGTGCATGCCACCTCACCCGGCTAATTTTTGTTTTATTTTTAGTAGAGACGGAGTTGGTCTCAAACTCCTGACCTCGGGTGATTCTCCCGCCTCAGCCTCACAAAGTGCTGGGATTACAGGAGTGAGCCACCATGCCTGGCCACTGCAAAAAAAAAAAATTGGTTTTTTTTTTTTGAGATGGAGTCTCGCTCTGTCACCCAGGCTGGAGTGCAGTGGCGTGATCTCGGCTCACTGCAAGCACCGCCTCCCAGGTTCACACCATGTTAGCCAGGATGGTCTCGATCTCCTGACCTAGTGATCCGCCTGTGTCGGCCTCCCAAAGTGCTGGGATTACAGGCGTGAACCACTGCGCCAGGCCTACCTCCTCTTCTTATAAGGACGCTAGTCCTATTGAAGTAGGACCCACCTCTAATAACCTCATGTAACTTAATTACCTCTTTAAAGATCCTATCTCCAAATATAGTTACATTCTGGGGTACCGGGGATTAGGACTTCAACAACCTAAATGTAAAAGCTAAGAAACTCTTAGAAGAAAACAGAGCTGTAAATCTTCATTACCTTGGGGCTGGTAAAGGCAAATGACAAAAGAAAATATAAATACATTAGACGTTATCAAAATTTAAAACTTTTGTACGTCAAAATATACTGTCAAGAAGATGAAACGACAGCCAACAGAATGGGCAAAAATATTTCCAGATAATATATGTAATAAGGGACTTATATCCAAAATATATAAGGAATAGACACAACAATTATAAAACAAATCACCCAATTGCAAAATGGGCAAAATATTTGATCAGACATTTCTCCAAAGAAGATATACAGAAGAACAATAAGCACACAGAAAGATGCTTGACTTGATTAACTATTAGGGATATGCAAATCAAAAACACAATGAGATACCACTTCATCCCACCAGATGACTGTTACTGGACAATAAAAAAAAGAATGGAGTGTTGATACATGCTGCCACATAGATAAACCCTGAAAACATTATATGCTAAGTGAAAGAAGCCAGTCACTGAAGACTACATATCGTATGATTCCATTTTATTTTATTTTATTTATTTTTTGAGATGTAGTCTCACTCTGTCGCCCAGGATGGAGTGCAGTGGCACGATCTTGGCTCACTGCAACCTCTGCCTCCTGGGTTCACACGATTCTTCTGCCTCAGCCTCCCGAGCAGCTGGGATTACAGGCGCCCACCACCACGCCCAGCTAATTTTTGTATTTTTTTAATAGAGACGGGGTTTCCACTATGTTGGTCAGACTGGTCTCGAACTCCTGACTTCGTGATCTGCCCGCCTCGGCCTCCCAAAGTTCTGGGATTACAGGCATGAGCCACCACACCCAGCCTGATTCCATTTTATGAAATGTCTAGGATAGGCAAATCTGTAGAGACAGAAAGGATATTAGTGGATGCATGGGGCTGGAGAGGTTGGAGGGAGTGAGGAGTAGCTGCCAGTGGGTATGGGATTGCTTTTGGAAGTGATGAGGATGTTCTTAAGTTGATCGTGGTGATGGTTGCACAACTCTTGTTAATATACTAAAAACCATTTAATTGTAAACTTTACATGGGTGAATTATAAGGTTTGTAAATTTTATCTAAAAAAGTTGTTTTTTTTTTCTTTGTTGTTGTTGTTGCTGTTGTTGTTTCAGACAGGGTCTTACTCTGTTGCCCAGGCTGGAGTACAGTGTCACCCAGCTCACTGCAGCCTCGACCTCCCAGGTTGAAGCAATCCTCCCACTTTAGCCTCTCTCCCAAGTAGCTGGGACCACAGGTGTGCACCACTGCACCCAGCTAATTTTTTACTTTTTTTGTAGGGACAAGATCTCACAATGTTGTCTAAGCTGATCTTGAAATGCTGGGCCCAAGTCATCTTCCCGCCTTGGCCTCCCAAAGTGCTGGAATTATAGGTATGTGCCACTGCACCCAGCCAGCTGTTTTTTGTTTGTTTGGTTGTTTGTTTTTTGTTTTTTTGAGATGGAGTCTCACTCTGTCTCCCAGGCTGGAGTGCAGTGGCCCGATCTTGGCTGACTGCAAGCTCCGCCTCCCTGGTTCACGCCATTCTCCTGCCTCAGCCTCCCCAGTTGCTGGGACTACAGGCGCCCACCACCACGCCCGGCTAATTTTTTTTGTATTTTTAGTAGAGACGGGGTTTCACCATGTTAGCTAGGATGGTCTCGATCTCCTGACCTCGTGATCCGCCTGCCTCGGCCTCCCAAAGTGCTGGGATTACAGGCGTGAGCCACAGCACCCAGCCACCAGCTGCTTTTATCAAAAAATAAAACGATAAAACCCTCCTCAAAGATGTATGTGTATGCTTGAACAAGACATCACTTGGTTTTGTTTAAAATATCCTAACATTATTAAGATAACAATTCTCCTTATGTTAATTTATAAATTTAATATGATTCTCCAAAAAATATAAACAATTTTTTCTGTAGCTATACAAGTTGATATCAAAGTTTATGTGGAAAAATAAACACTCAAGGATAACTAGTAAGACACAGAAAAGAAAGAGGTATGAGAGGAGACTAGCCCTAGCAAATATTAAAACATGCTATATAGTTTTTTTAATGAAAACAGTGTGGTTCTGGCACATGAATAGGCAGACCAATGAAATCAAATAGAAAGTTCAGAAATTAACTTACTGCTTAGGAAAATCCAGTAGATAATAAACAGTCAAATGGCTGAGGCAAAGATGGGCTTTTTAATAAATGGTGTTGGGAGTCTGCATGCAGTGGCTCATGCCTGTAATCCCAGCACTTTGGGAGGCCGAGGCAGGCAGATCACTTCAGGTTAGGAGTTCAAGACCAGCCTGGCCAACATGGTGAAACCCTGTCTCTACTAAAACATACAAAAATTAGCCGGGCGTGGTGGTGGGCGCCCATAATCCCAGCTACTCAGGAGGCTGAGGCAGGAGAATCGCTTGAACCCAGGAGGCGGAGGTTGCAGTAAGCCAAGATCACCGCCATTGTACTCCAGCCTGGGAAACAGAGTGAGACTCCTCAAAGAAAACAAAAAAATGGTGTTGGAGCAATTGAATATTTGTGCTCTGTCGTGAGATTATGGAAAAACACATTGCTGTAAGAAATAAAAAATAGTATAGCCCTTATGGAGAAGCATTTGGTAAGATTTAATGAAACGATTTGTACATTTACATTTCAGCCTAGCACTCCCACTTCTAGGAATTTATGCTAAAGATACCTCCGAAATACATAGGCATACTTACATATGTAAGTTTCTTCATTGCACCATAATTTGGAAAAATATTTGTATTTGCATAGGAAACTACCTAAATACCCAAACATAAAAGATTAGTTGAATACATTATGGTACTTAAATACAATGGGATACTAGGAAGCCATCAAAAGGAATGAAGAAGATCTTTACTGACTGATATGTAGTCATTTCCAAGATATATTATTGGGTTTTTTGGTTTTGTTTTGTTTTGAGACAGGATCTTGCTCTGTCATCAAGGCTGGAGTGCAGTGGTGCAATCATATCTCACTGCAGCCTGGACTTCCCTAGGCTCCGATAGTCCCCCCACCTCAGCCTCCCGAGTAGCTGAGACTACAGGTACATGCCACTATGCCCAGCTAATTTTTGCATTTTCTTGTAGAGACAGGGTTTCACCATGTTTCCCAGGCTCAGAAATCTCAATTCTTAGAACTTATTGTATGAAAACATTCAGTGATGTGTAATTAAATGTATGCAATAAAATATCTTTCAAGAGTTATTTCTAAAAACCAAAATTAAAAAAATACTTACAGGGCTCTGATTAAATTATGAGATAGAAGAGTCCCAAATCATTAAAATAACACTGTAAAAGAATGTTTTAGATGATGTAAAATGGTATATGTAGTGTGACTCAAATTTTGTTTAAAAATATATGTGAGGGCTGGGAGAAGTGGCTCACATCTGTAATCCCAGCATTTTGGAAGGCTGAGGCGGGTGGATCACCAGAGGTCAGGAGTTCCAGAGCAGCCTGGCAACATGGTAAAACCCCGTCTCTACTAAAAATACAAAAAAAAAAAAAATTAGCCGGGCGTGGTGGTGCATGCCTGTAGTCCCAGCTACTCAGGAGTCTGAGGCAGGAGAATTGCTTGAACCCCGGAGGTGGAGGTTGCTGTGAGCCAAGATCGCATCATTGCACTCCAGCCTGGGTGACAGAGTGAGACCTTGTCTTTAAAAAAAAAAAAAAAGTGTGAGACAACACAATAGAAAGAGGGGCAAGCATGTAAATAGATATTTTATGGAAGAGAAAACACATGGCCAATAAACATAGAAAAAGATCCTCAATTCATTAGTATTCAGGAAAATGCAAATTAATACTACAAAGTCATACACCTACTAGAATGGCAAGATTTAAAGTTTCACAATTCCAAATGCTGGAAAAAAGCCTAATCAATTGGAAACTCTTATACAGTAATGCTGAGAGTATAAATCAGTACAACCATTTTGGCAATGCTTAACAAAGTTGAAATTCTATATACCTTATATCTAGCTATTCAACCCCAAAGACACTCTTCATGCATGCACCAAGAGGAATACACAATCACTGCACTCTTCTTGGTACTTATTTATTTATTTATTTTTATTTTTTGGAGACAGTCTTGCTCTGTCACCCAGGCTGGAGTGAAGTGGCACAATCTGGTCTCACTGCAACCTCCGCCTCCCAGGTTCAAGCAATTCTTATGCCTCAGCATCCAGGGTAGCTGGGATCACAAGTGTGCACCACCATGCCTGGCTAATTTTTGTATTTTTCATAGAGACAGGGTTTTGCCATGTTGCCCAGGCTGGTCTTGAACTCCTGAGCTCAGGCAATCTGCCCACCTCAGCTTCCCAAAGTGCTGGGATTACAGGCGTGAGCCACCACGCCCAGCCTGTTCTTAGTACTTATAAAAACAATCCAAATGGCCAGCAAGAGAAGAAAGAATGCATAAATGTGTATATCTCCACAGCGGAAATATTAAACAGCAGCAAAAATAAAAGAGCATTTGCATAACACAACATGGATAAATTGAACCAACATTTTTCTTAGTGAAGAAAGCAAGAAACATATGACTCATCGCATGTCACCATTTTTACAAGGCTTAAAATCAAATAAACACAAACAATTTTTAAAATTACTTTAATAAGGCAAGAGGATGATACTCCCACTCCATGAGAGGAAGTGCAAGACCAAGGGGTGCACATAGGTAAATGACAATTATTGCCATGATTTATAATGTTTTGATTTTTGGGGCAGGGGGTGTAATGTTACATATATTCTTTGTATGTATCAAATATCATATTTTTCAAAGATAAAGGGAAAGAGTGTGTGTTTGTTGTGTTCCTTGAATAAGACTGGGTGAATATAAACCAAAATATTAGAAGAAGTTGTCTCTGGGTAATAGGATTAAGAATTATTTTAATTTTCTTTGCATTTGTTTGTATTTTCAAAATTGTCTTAAATGAACATGTACTTTTTTGGAGGCAGGAAGAAAAATATTTTTAAAAATCTGCGCTAGAATCTGTTCTATTTTCATTCCACAGTCTGAACATCTAAGTCTTAATTACCATAGTGATAAATGATCTGGGGGAAGAGGTGCGCAGTGGAATCTCCAAGGTCATGTGCCAGGTAGTGAGCTGAGAGTGGCAGAAAGGAGGCTGCGTGGGATGTGACCGAGCTGCGTGGGAGGGCAGACACCTGCCCGCTGAGTGTCAGTGTGGGCAAGAGGAAGGTAATAACAGCTGAAGGAAAACAATTTAATGAACTGAAAACCATTACTTAAAGTTGTAAATCCACCATCCAGCCTGCCCTGGCTTCCAGCCTCCTCCTCCCACCCCCACCCCCACCCCGCCAAAAAAATCAAGAACATGCAGATAGCAATACTAAAAACAAAACATCATGATTGCATCTTGGTACCAAATTATTATAAATTGACACCATAATGTGTGTCGTTCTGTTCTCTGCCATTTACAGATGGCGTGACAGGACTGGAAGGGCTCCAGGAGAGAGTAATTAAAATGATTAGCAGAAAGCGGGTCCTTCACAGGAGGCAAAAAAAACCAAACTCCATCCTTCAGCGGAAAGTGAGAGCTTGGCCGTGACACGCCAAAGGTGTGCACAGTCAGAACACAGACAATGGTGCCGAATCTCACAGTACCAGCAGTACAGGATAGCGCGCCATCAGTGGTTGACAGAGGCAGATTTGGAAGAAATGAATAGGAACTGCTATTTTGCGTGGCAGATAACGTGGATATCCTTACCCCCAGAGGCTGACACATGAGTCCTCCGTCTTGTCCAAATGTGGAATGAAGATGGCACAGAAGACCAGCTCGTGGGCCTCTGGGTGGGATTCGGAGGGCTGGGAAGAGAGGCAGTGCTGGACGGTGGTGTTGGTCTTTACTCTCTGTATTAACCTGTGGATTATGAGAGCCTGTGACAAATCACATGGAAAACCTTTCAAGACAAAACTTTCTAAGATTTATCTTGTGAACAGCAGTTGTGTTCTTCAATAAAACCGTCCTTAGGTGTCAAGCTGAAGTTTGGACTGGACTGGATAGCTAGCGAGACTTCTATTGTAGTATTTTCTGGGTGCTAGGATCACAGGTGTGAGTAGCTATCATTCTGCCACACCGTGCAAAGCTCATGAGGCCAGAGGCTAGATGGCACCCCAAAATATCCCCAAGAATTACTCCAAAAGGCAATCCAGAGGCCAGAGTATCCAAGGAAGAGTGTATTACAGGTTTTGTTAGTTTACCAAAGGCTATTTATTTATGTAGTGTTGTCAGACACCTGAAAATGTCAACAAATTCTATGTTGACAAAACTTTCTAAACTGGCTCAAGGGTCATTCAAGGTGTTCTCACATACCTATCACCTGGTGTGCTTTTGAGAAAATACATCTGGGCCCCACAGTTCATCTAGATGAGCTAATTTTTTTTTTTAAGAGACACAGTCTTGCTCTGTCACCCAGGCTTTGGAGTGCAGTGGCACAACCATAGCTCATTGCGGCCTCAAACTCTTAGGCTCAAGAAATCCTCTGGCCTCAGCCTCCCAAAGCACTAGGATCACAGGCATGAGCCACTGTGCCTGGCCGGAATTTTTTTAAGTGACCCCAAGTGGTATAATGTGCAGCCGGAGTAGAGAAGCACTGAGCATCTCCACTTGATAAAGCTAATTACTTGAAGGGGTCCTGGCTGTAGGAAGAGGGCAAAGGGCACTGGAGACAAGCTGGGATAGAAGCAAAGACCATTCCGCCGGCTCAGCGCACGAGGTCTGAAATACGTCCAGGCTGCCCCTGCATGGTGGTGGGGGAGGGAGGGGAGGCTCAGCTGGTTTATTTTTTATTTATTTATTTTTAAGACAGAGTCTCACTCTGTCACTCAAGCTGGAGTGCAGTGGCGCAATCTTCACTCACTGCAACCTCCTGGGTTCAAGTGATTCTCCTGCCTCAGCCTCCCGAGCAGCTGGGATTACAGGCGGGCACCACCACGCTCAGCTAATTTTTGTATTTTTAGTAAAGATCAGGTTTCACCATGTTGGCCCAGCTGGTCTCAAACTCCTGGCCTCAAGTGATCCCCCCACCTCGGCCTTCCAAAGTGCTGGGATTACAGGCGTGAGCCACCATGCCCAAATCATTACCTTTTTAAGGCAAACTCCATAAGGCCAGTTCCTGGGGAAAGGAGTGCTTCCCTAGGTCTACTCAGGGGCCTCTGTGGCTTCATTGCATGTCATAGGAAAGGTCTTCCAATATGCATCAGAGCCACTGTTTGTCTAGAAAACTCCTTTCTCTCCCATTGAAATGTTCCTGTCTTTTGCAAAGATGTAGGATCAAAAAGCCCAGACTGCAAAAAGGAAAAGTGCCACCAGTTCCTGTCCAGATTCCCAGTCGGCACACAGGGAGACCCATGTCCTGCAGCTTTGGGCGAACTTTCTGACACCACATCCATTCTGGGCTCCTTTTGGGGCATATGGCTCCCTTATACAACACTAGCTCTTCAGCTACTTAAAAAGCAGAATTACTTCGCTGTAATGTGAGGAACTCTCCAGAAAGAAACTTCAGGCCAGGCACGGTGGCTCACGCTTGGAATCCCAACACTTTGGGATGCCAACTTGGGGAGGATCCTTTGAGCCCAGGAGTTTGAAACCAGCCTGGACAACATAGTGAGACTCCATCACTACAAAAAATATAAAAATTAGCCAGGTGTGGTGGCATGCACCTATAGTCCCAGATACTCAGGAGGCTGAGGCAGGAGGATTGCCTGAAGCTAGCAGCTCGAGGCTGCTGTGAGCTATGATCATATCCCTGCACTCTGGCCTGGGTGACAGAGAGAGGCCCAGTCTCTTTAAAAAAAAAAAAAAGAAAGAAAGAAAGCAGCTTCATGTAGAAAGGCCATTTCAGGTCCCCAGATACCCGCTGGGTGCAGTTCAATTTAGTCCGCCAAGACTTTTCCAGGCATTCTGTTTCCTCTGTCGCCTTGCTTATGTCCCCACCAGCTTCATCCCTTCTTGTTGTTTACCTCTAGGATGTGCTTTGCCCCCTTCCACACATCAAGTGTTGATCTCCTGCCTCACCCACTTGGCTTCATACTTCCATAGACACCATTTCCACCTAGAGCACCTATTGTCTCCTTCAATATCTGTCCGTAACCCATCTCAAGACCCAACTCAAACATCACTTCTCAGAGAAGACAGCTTTCTTAGTGTTAACTTCACTCTACTCTGATCACATCTATGTTTTATCCCGTTTGTGTTTAGACATAGTTGAGATGTACTGATGTTTGCATTTGTTGTCATGTTGCTTCATAAGCAGTTTGGTGTTGTTTCACATATGCCCATTCTGTTTCCTGACCTAGATTTCAAGTTCTCTCTCTCTTTTTTTTTTTTTTTTTGAGATGGAGTTTTGCTCTTGTTGCCCAGGCTGGAGTGCAATGGTGCCATCTTGGCTCACTCCAACCTCCGCCTCCCTGTTCAAGTGATTCTCCTGCCTCAGCCCCGTCAAGTAGCTGGGATTACAGGCATGCACCACCACGCCTGGCTAATTTTGTATTTTTAGTAGAGATGGGGTTTCACCATGTTGGTCAGGCTGGTCTCGAACTCTTGACCTCAGGTCATCCTCCCAGCTTGGCCTCCCAAAGTCCTGGGATTACAGGCATAAGCCACCATGCCTGGACAACTTCAAGTTCTTCAAAACCCAGGAATCATGGTCAGAAGACATAAATAAGTCGAAGAGCTGTGGCTGTGAGTGATGAGAGGCAGGTGTGGGCTTTCTGATTGGGCCTTACAGGGTCTGCACCTGGCTGCAGTGCAGGTGTTAATTGTGATTATGATGAACCAGGCTTTTTCTGCTTGTAGACTAACATAGCTGAAACCATATTTCTGCCAGCCAACAGCCTTTCACGACTTTTTTTTTTTTTTTTTGAGACGGAGTCTTGCTGTCACCCAGGCTGGAGTGCAGTGGCGTGATCTCCGCTCACTGCAGGCTCCGCCCCCTGGGGTTCACTCCATTCTCTTGCCTCAGCCTCCTGAGTAGCTGGGTCTACAGGCGCCCGCCGCCTCGCCCAGCTAATTTTTTGTATTTTTAGTAGAGATGGGGTTTCACCGTGTTAGCCAGGATGGTCTCGATCTCCTGACCTCGTGATCCGCCCACCTCGGCCTCCCAAAGTGCTGGGATTACAGGCATGAGCCACCGCAGCCGGCCAGCCTTTCACGACTTTTCAGGAAGCTGGGACAGTCATAGAGCCAAGGAGATTCAGAACCTGTGCAGTACTTTGAATATCTGGTGAGAAACACCAAGAAGGAACCCCTTGCAAACCCTACACAAACACCAATGCCCTGCACTGTGTTGCTAGTACTCTTTCACTAGCAGTTGATAATTGAATGAATATGCCGAGCGTGGTGGCTCACACCTGTAATCCCAGCACTTTGGGATGCCGAGACGGGTGGATCACGAGGTCAGGAGTTCCAGACCAGCCTGGCCAGCATGGTGAAACCCTGTCTCCACTAAAAATACAAAAAAAAAAAAAAAAAAAAAAAATTAGCTGGGTGTGGTGGCGTGTGCCTGTAATCCCAGCTACTTGGGAGACTGAGGCAGGAAAATCGCTTGAACCAGGGAGTCGGAGGTCGCAGTCAGCCGAGATCACGCCACTGCACTCACAGCCTGGTGACAGAGCAAGACTCCATCTCAAAAGAAAAAAAAAATTGTATGAATATCTGCCCCATACTAGGCTATGAAATAGAAGATAGGATTAAAAATAGACCTGGACATTTCTGCTTAAAGAAGCTTAAAGGCCAGGCATGGTGGCTCACGCCTGCAATCCCAGCACTTTGGGAGGCTCAGGTGGGAAGATCGCTTGAGGCCAGGAGTTTGAGACCAGCATGGGCAACATGATGAAACCCTGTCTCTACAAAATAAATATAAAAATAAATTAGCCAGGTGCGGTTGCATGCGCCTGTAGTCCCAGCCACTTGGGAGGATGAGGCAGGAGGATCACATGAGCTAGGAGTTTGAGGTTGCAATAAGCCATGATTGTGCCACTGTACTCCAGCCTGGGTGACAGAGCAAGACCTTGTCTCAAAAAAAAAAAAAAAAGCAGCAGCTTAAAGATGGCAAGTGAGTTATATGGAACTGATAATTTTCAAGAGACTATGTTTTTTTTTGTTTTTTTTTTTTTGGAGACAGGGTCTCACTCTTCACCCAGGCTGGAGTGCAGTGGAGCGAACACAGTTCACTGCAGCCTTGACCTTCTGAGTTCAAGCAATTCTGTCACCTCAGCCTCCCATGTAGCTGGGATCACAGGTGTGCACCACCATGTCTGGCTAATTGTTAAATATTTTTTGTATAGACAGGGTCTCACTGTTTTGCCCAGGCTTGAACTCCTGGGCTCAAGCAATCCTCCTGCCCCTACCTCCCAGAGTGCGGGATTACAGGTGTGAGCCACCATGCCTGACTGTTGAGTGCTTTTTAATAGAGCTTCAGAGAGTTATGGGAGCCCAAAGGAAGAAAAGACCCATTCTATGTGGAGCCCTGGTATGGTAGACTGTCACAGTGATGGTCCCCAATGAGTCACACCTCTTGGTATGCATGCTCTTCTGTGTTCCCCTCCCACAGGGACTCTGACTCTGCCATGTGACTTAAAGCAATGCACACACGACACAAGCAAAGACTGGATAAATACTTACCCATTAAGGCTTGCTCTCTTGGCACACTGCCTTGGGACTGCCTTGTAAGGAAGCCAGTCTAGCTTAATGGAATATGAAAGGCCTTGTGGAGGGAAACTGAGGCACTCCTGCTGCTAGGCAGCACCTACTGTCAGGCATGGGAATGAGACCATCTTGGGTGTTCCAGGCCAGCTGACCTTATCGTTAATTGCAGCCACTTCTCTGGGCCCTGGTGATGCCAGCAGAGGACCTTCCAGCTGACCTATGGAATTGAGAGAAACAATAAACTGATATTATTTTAAGACTAAAAGTTTTGGGGTGATGTGTTATGCAGCAATAGATTACAGACAGCAGTTGGTACCCAGGAGAAGAGAGTGCTGTAATAAAACAAAGCATGCAGATTTGGCTTTGGACTACGTGGCAAACGGAGGCTAGAAGGGTGGCAAGGAGGTTGTTGGTGCAGTCCAGAGGGTCCAGGAGGCAACGGCTGCCGGAGGCTGGAGGGACAGTGGCTTGTGCGTCGCAGCGTTGTGTGTCGCAGCACTGAAACAATGAGTGGAGGGGAGAATTGGAGTAGTGGAAGTAGTGCTGCAAAACTGTCATCTGTAGTCACCGATCGGAAACATACCTAGTGGGCCTGGCACCGTGGCTCAAACCTGTAATCCCAGCACTTGGGGAGGCTGAGGTGGGCGGATCACTTGAGGTCAGGAGTTCGAGACCAGCCTGTGAAACCCTGTCTCTACTAAAAATACAAAAATTAGCTGGGTGAGGTGGTGCATGCCATAATCCCAGCTGCTCGGGTGGCAGGGGAATTGCTTGAACCTGGGAAGTGGAGGTTGCAGTGAAGTGAGATTGTGCCACTGCACTCCAGCCTGGGCAATAGAGAGAGACTCCGTCTCAAAAAAATAAATAAATAAATAAGGAAACATACCTAATTAACTTGTTAATCCAGCTAAAGAAATTTCCAGGTAGAATGGTAAATTGTCTTTTTTAAGAAGCTTTAACCATAAGCTTCCAAAGGAGGAACTATTCAGTTTGCAAACAGAATTTAAAAGAAACACACAGAGGGGCTGGGATGTGCTGGGTTGTAAAATAAAATGTCAGATTTCTAGTCTCTCTACTACACAAAACGGTTGCAAAGAAATAGCTTTAGGGTAAAGATCAAATTAAGTTTGAGGCTGTAAGACTCTTTAAGACCTCAAAGAGATTTAAGATGGTGCCAAATAGCCCCATCAGCTAGAAAAAGGTGTTTCTAAGAATCTTAAAGTCATTGTCCCACAGCTGTCTGACATGCT